>NC_000022.11:13885243-14185243 GCF_000001405.40 Homo sapiens | reverse complement strand
TGGTAGGGGAAGATATTCCCTTTATCACCATGGGCCTCAAACCGTCCGAAACGTCCACTTCCATATACTACAAAAAGAGGGTTTCAAACCTGCTCTATGAAAGGCAATGTTCAACTCTGTGACTTGAATGCAGACATCACAGAGCAGTTTCTGAGAATACTTCTGTCTAGATTTTATAGGAAGATATTCCCGTTTCCAATGAAATCTTCACAGCTATCCAAATATCCACTTGCAGATTCTACAAAAAGAGTGTATCAAAAATGCTCTGTCAAAAGGAAGGTTCTTCTCTGTTAGTTGAGTACATACGTCATAAAGGAGTTTCTGAGAATGTTTCTGTCTAGTGGTTATGGGAAGATATTTGCTTTTTCCCCGTAGGCCTCAGGGCGCTCCAAATGTCCACTTGCACATGCTACAAAAAGAGTGCTTCAAAGCTGATCTCTGAAAGGGAATGTTCAACTCTATGAGTTGAATGCAAACATCACAAAGACGTTTCTGAGAATGCTTCTCTCTAGATTTGATATGAAGATATTCCCGTTTCCAACGAAATCTTCAAATCTATCCAAATGTCCACTTGCAGATTCAACAAAAAGTGTTTTTCAGAACTGCTCAATCAAAAGAAAGATCCACCTGTGTTAGCCGAGTTCACACATCACAAACAAGTTTATGAGAATGCTTCTGTCTAGTTTTTATTTGAAGATATTTCCTTTCTCACCATAGACCTGAAAGCTGTCCTAATGTTCACTTCCAGTTACTACAGAAAGAGTGTTTCAAAACTGCTGTATGAAAGGGAATGTTCAACTGCTGTGACTTGAATGCACACATCACAAAGAAGTTTCTGAGGATGCTGCTGTCTACTTTTTATACGTAATCCCGTTTCCAACGAAATCCTCCAAGCTATCCAAATATCCACTTGCAGATTCCACAGAAAGACTGTTTCAAAACTGCTCTGTCAATAGAAAGGTTCAACTCTGATAACTGCGTGCATATATCCCAAAGAAGATTCTGAGATTGCTTCTGTCTAGTTTTTATGGGAAGATATTTCCCTTTTCACCGTAGGTGTCAAGGCGCGCCAAATGTCCACTTCCAGATACTACAAAAAGAGTGTTTCAAACCTACTCTGTGAAAGGGAATATTCAACTCTGTGACTTGAATGCACATATCACAAAGAAGTTTCTGAGAATGCTTCTGTCGAGATTTTATATGAAGATATTCCCGTTTCCAACGAAATCCTGAAATCTATCCAAATATCCCCTCGCAGATTCTACAAAAAGAGTGTTTCAAAACTGCTCTGTAAAAAGAAAGGTTCAACTCTGTTAGTTGACTACACACATCACAAACAAGTTTCACAGAATGCTTCTTTCTAGCTTGTAGGGGAAGATATTTCCTTTATCACCATGGTTCTCAAACCGTCCGAAACGTCCACTTCCACATACTAAAAAAACAGTGTTTGAAACCTGCTCTATGAAAGGCAATGTTCAACTCTGTGACTTGAATGCAGACATCACAGAGCAGTTTCTGAGAATGCTTCTGTCTAGATTTTATAGGAAGATATTCCCGTTTCCAACGAAATCTTCACAGCTATCCAAATATCCACTTGCAGATTCTACAAAAAGAGTGTATCAAAACTGCTCTGTCAAAAGGAAGGTTCTTCTCTGTTAGGTAAGTGCATACGTCATAAAGGAGTTTCTGAGAATGTTTCTGTCTAGTGGTTATGGGAAGATATTTGCTTTTTCACCGTAGGCCTCAGAGCGCTCCAAATATCCACTTGCACAGACTACAAAAAGAGTGCTTCAAAGCTGCTCTCTGAAAGGGAATGTTCAACTCTATGAGTTGAATGCAAACATCACAAAGACGTTTCTGAGAATGCTTCTGTCTAGATTTGATATGAAGATATTCCCGTTTCCAACGAAATCTTCAAATCTATCCAAATGTCCACTTGCAGATTCAACAAAAAGTGTTTTTCAGAACTGCTCTATCAAAAGAAAGATCCACGTCTGTTAGCTGAGTTCACACATCACAAACAAGTTTATGAGAATGCTTCTGTCTAGTTTTTATTTGAAGATATTTCCTTTCTCACCATAAACCTGAAAGCTGTCCTAATGTTCACTTCCAGATACTACAGAAAGAGTGTTTCAAAACTGCTGTACGAAAGGGAATGTTCAACTCTGTGACTTGAATGCACACATCACAAAGAAGTTTCTGAGGATGCTGCTGTCTACTTATTATACGTAATCCCGTTTCCAACGAAATCCTCCAAGCTATCCAAATATCCACTTGCAGATTCCACAGAAAGACTCTTTCAAAACTGCTCTGTCAATAGAAAGGTTCAACTCTGTTAGCTGCGTGCATACATCCCAAAGAAGATTCTGAGATTGCTTCTGTCGAGATTTTATATGAAGATATTCCCGTTTCCAACAAAATCCTGAAATCTATCCAAATATCCCCTCACAGATTCTACAAAAAGAGTGTTTCAAAACTGCTCTGTAAAAAGAAAGGTTCAACTCTGTTAATTGAGTACACACATCACAAACAAGTTTCACAGAATGCTTCTTTCTAGCTTGTAGGGGAAGATATTCCCTTTATCACCATGGGCCTCCAACCGTCCGAAACATCCACTTCCATATACTACAAAAAGAGCGTTTCAAACCTGCTCTATGAAAGGCAATGTTCAACTGTGTGACTTGAATGCAGACATCACAGAGCAGTTTCTGAGAATGCTTCTGTCTAGATTTTATAGGAAGATATTCCCGTTTCCAACGAAATCTTCACAGCTATCCAAATATCCACTTGCAGATTCTACAAAAAGAGTGTATCAAAACTGCTGTGTCAAAAGGAAGGTTCTTCTCTGTTAGGTGAGTGCATACGTCATAAAGGAGTTTCTGAGAATGTTTCTGTCTAGTGGTTATGGGAAGATATTTGCTTTTTCACCGTAGGCCTCAGAGCGCTCCAAATATCCACTTGCACATACTACAAAAAGAGTGCCTCAAAGCTGCTCTCTGAAACGGAATGTTCAACTCTATTAGTTGAATGCAAACATCACAAAGACGTTTCTGAGAATGCTTCTGTCTAGATTTGATATAAAGATATTCCCGTTTCCAACGAAATCTTCAAATCTATCCAAATGTCCACTTGCAGATTCAACAAAAAGTGTTTTTCAGAACTGCTCTATCAAAAGAAAGATCCACCTCTGTTAGCTGAGTTCACACATCACAAACAAGTTTATGAGAATGCTTTTGTCTAGTTTTTATTTGAAGATATTTCCTTTCTCACCATAGACCTGAAAGCTGTCCTAATGTTCACTTCCAGTTACTACAGAAAGAGTGTTTCAAAACTGCTGTACGAAAGGGAATGTTCAACTACTGTGACTTGAATGCACACATCACAAAGAAGTTTCTGAGGATGCTGCTGTCTACTTTTTATACGTAATCCCGTTTCCAACGAAATCCTCCAAGCTATCCAAATATCCACTTGCAGATTCCACAGAAAGACTGTTTCAAAACTGCTCTGTCAATAGAAAGGTTCAACTCTGTTAGCTGCGTGCATATATCCCAAAGGAGATTCTGAGATTGCTTCTGTCTAGTTTTTATGGGAAGATATTTCCCTTTTCACCATAGGTGTCAAGGCGTTCCAAATGTCCACTTCCAGATACTACAAAAAGAGTGTTTCAAACCTACTCTGTGAAAGGGAATATTCAACTCTGTGACTTGAATGCACATATCACAAATAAGTTTCTGAGAATGCTTCTGTCGAGATTTTATATGAAGATATTCCCGTTTCCAATGAAATGCTGAAATGTATCAAAATATCCCCTCGCAGATTCTACAAAAAGAGTGTTTCAAAACTGCTCTGTAAAAAGAAAGGTTCAACTCTGTTAGTTGAGTACACACATCACAAACAAGTTTCACAGAATGCTTCTTTCTAGCTTGTAGGGGAAGATATTCCCTTTATCACCATGGGCCTCAAACCGTCCGAAACGTCCACTTCCATATACTACAAAAAGAGCGTTTCAAACCTGCTCTATGAAAGGCAATGTTCAACTCTGTGACTTGAATACAGACATCGGCAGAGCAGTTCCTGAGAATGCTTCTGTCTAGATTTTATAGGAAGATATTCCCGTTTCCAAAGAAATCTTCACAGCTATCCAAATATCCACTTGCAGATTCTACAAAAAGAGTGTATCAAAACTGCTCTGTCAAAAGGAAGGTTCTTCTCTGTTAGGTGAGTGCATACGTCATAAAGGAGTTTCTGAGAATGTTTCTGTATAGTGGTTATGGGAAGATATTTGCTTTTTCACCGTAGGCCTCAGAGCGCTCCAAATATCCACTTGCACATACTACAAAAAGAGTGCTTCAAAGCTGCTCTCTGAAACGGAATGTTCAACTCTATGAGTTGAATGCAAACATCACAAAGACGTTTCTGAGAATGCTTCTGTCTAGATTTGATATGAAGATATTCCCGTTTCCAACGAAATCTTCAAATCTATCCAAATGTCCACTTGCAGATTCAACAAAAAGTGTTTTTCAGAACTGCTCTATGAAAAGAAAGATCCACCTCTGTTAGCTGAGTTCACACATCACAAACAAGTTTATGAGAATGCTTCTGTCTAGTTTTTATTTGAAGATATTTCCTTTCTCACCATAGAGCTGAAAGCTGTCATAATGTTCACTTCCAGATACTACAGAAAGAGTGTTTCAAAACTGCTGTACGAAAGGGAATGTTCAACTCTGTGACTTGAATGCACACATCACAAAGAAGTTTCTGAGGATGCTGCTGTCTACTTTTTATACGTAATCCCGTTTCCAACGAAATCCTCCAATCTATCCAAATATCCACTTGCAGATTCCACAGAAAGACTGTTTCAAAACTGCTCTGTCAATAGAAAGGTTCAACTCTGTTAACTGCGTGCATATATCCCAAAGAAGATTCTGAGATTGCTTCTGTCTAGTTTTTATGGGAAGATATTTCCCTTTTCACCGTAGGTGTCAAGGGGCTCCAAATGTCCACTTCCAGATACTACAAAAAGAGTGTTTCAAACCTACTCTGTGAAAGGGAATATTCAACTCTGTGACTTAAAGGCAGATATCACAAAGAAGTTTCTGAGAATGCTTCTGTCGAGATTTTATATGAAGATATTCCCGTTTCCAACGAAATCCTGAAATCTATCCAAATATCCCCTCGCAGATTCTACAAAAAGATTGTTTCAAAACTGCTCTGTAAAAAGAAAGGTTCAACCCTGTTAGTTGAGTACACACATCACAAACAAGTTTCACAGAATGCTTCTTTCTAGCTTGTAGGGGAAGATATTCCCTTTATCACCATGGGCCTCCAACCGTCCGAAACGTCCACTTCCATATACTACAAAAAGAGCGTTTCAAACCTGCTCTAGGAAAGGCAATGTTCAACTCTGTGACTTGAATGCAGACATCACAGAGCAGTTTACTGAGAATGCTTCTGTCTAGATTTTATAGGAAGATACTCCCGTTTCCAACGAAATCTTCACAGTTATCCAAATATACACTTGCAGATTCTACAAAAAGAGTGTATCAAAACTGCTCTGTCAAAAGGAAGGTTCTTCTCTGTTAGTTGAGTACATACGTCATAAAGTAGTTTCTGAGAATGTTTCTGTCTAGTGGTTATGGGAAGATATTTGCTTTTTCACCGAAGGCCTCAGAGCGCTCCAAATATCCACTTGCACATACTACAAAAAGAGTGCCTCAAAGCTGCTCTCTGAAACGGAATGTTCAACTCTATGAGTTGAATGCAAACATCACAAAAGACGTTTCTGAGAATGCTTCTGTCTAGATTTGATATGAAGATATTCCCGTTTCCAACGAAATCTTCAAATCTATCCAAATGTCCACTTGCAGATTCAACAAAAAGTGTTTTTCAGAACTGCTCTATCAAAAGAAAGTTCCACCTCTGTTAGCTGAGTTCACACATCACAAACAAGTTTATGAGAATGCTTCCGTCTAGTTTTTATTTGAAGATATTTCCTTTCTCACCATAGACCTGAAAGCTGTCCTAATGTTCACTTCCAGTTACTACAGAAAGAGTGTTTCAAAACTGCTGTACGAAAGGGAATGTTCAACTCTGTGACTTGAATGCACACATCACAAGGATGTTTCTGAGGATGCTGCTGTCTACTTTTTATACGTAATCCCGTTTCCAACGAAATCCTCCAAACTATCCAAATATTCACTTGCAGATTCCACAGAAAGACTGTTTCAAAACTGCTCTGTCAATAGAAAGGTTCAACTCTGTTAGCTGCGTGCATATATCCCAAAGAAGTTTCTGAGATTACTTCTGTCTAGTTTTTATGGGAAGATATTTCCCTTTTCACCGTAGGCGTCAAGGCGCTCCAAATGTCCACTTCCAGATACTACAAAAAGAGTGTTTCAAACCTACTCTGTGAAAGGGAGTATTCAACTCTGTGACTTGAATGCAGATATCACAAAGAAGTTTCTGAGAATGCTTCTGTCGAGATTTTATATGAAGATATTCCCGTTTCCAACGAAATCCTGAAATCTATCCAAATATCCCCTCGCAGATTCTACAAAAAGAGTGTTTCAAAACTGCTCTGTAAAAAGAAAGATTCAACTCTGTTAGTTGAGTACACACATCACAAACAAGTTTCACAGAATGCTTCTTTCTAGCTTGTAGGGGAAGATATTCCCTTTATCACCATGGGCCTCAAACCGTCCGAAACGTCCACTTTTATATACTACAAAAAGAGCGTTTCAAACCTGCTCTACGAAAGTCAATGTTCAACTCTGTGACTTGAATGCAGACATCACAGAGCAGTTTCTGAGAATGCTTCTGTCTAGATTTTATAGGAAGATATTCCCGTTTCCAACGAAATCTTCACAGCTATCCAAATATCCACTTGCAGATTCTACAAAAAGAGTGTATCAAAACTGCTCTGTCAAAAGGAAGGTTCTTCTCTGTTAGGTGAGTGCATACGTCATAAAGGAGTATCTGAGAATGTTTCTGTCTAGTGGTTATGGGAAGATATTTGCTTTTTCACCGTAGGCCTCAGAGCGCTCCAAATATCCACTTGCACATACTACAAAAAGAGTGCCTCACAGCTGCTCTCTGAAACGGAATGTTCAACTCTATGAGTTGAATGCAAACATCGCAAAGACGTTTCTGAGAATGCTTCTGTCTAGATTTGATATGAAGATATTCCCGTTTCCAACGAAATCTTCAAATCTATCCAAATGTCTACTTGCAGATTCAACAAAAAGTGTTTTACAAAACTGCTGTATCAAAAGAAAGATCCACGTCTGTTAGCTGAGTTCACACATCACAAACAAGTTTATGAGAATGCTTCTGTCTAGTTTTTATTTGAAGATATATCCTTTCTCACTATAGACCTGAAAGCTGTCCTAAAGTTCACTTCCAGATACTACAGAAAGAGTGTTTCAGAAACTGCTGTATGAAAGGGAATGTTCAACTCTGTGACTTGAATGCACACATCACAAAGAAGTTTCTGAGGATGCTGCTGTCTACTTTTTATACGTAATCCCGTTTCCAACGAAATCCTCCAAGCTATCCAAATATCCACTTGCAGATTCCACAGAAAGACTGTTTAAGAACTGCTCTGTCAATAGAAAGGTTCAACTCTGTTAGCTGCGTGCATATATCCCAAAGAAGATTCTGAGATTGCTTCTGTCTAGTTTTTATGGGAAGATATTTCCCTTTTCACCGTAGGCGTCAAGGCGCTCCAAATGTCCACTTCCAGATACTACAAAAAGAGTGTTTCAAACCTACTCTGTGAAAGGGAATATTCAACTCTGTGAGTTGAATGCACATATCACAAAGAAGTTTCTGAGAATGCTTCTGTCGAGATTTTATATGAAGATATTCCAGTTTCCAACCAAATCCTGAAATCTATCCAAATATCCCCTCGCAGATTCTACAAAAAGAGTGTTTCAAAACTGCTCTGTAAAAAGAAAGGTTCAACTCTGTTAGTTGAGTACACACATCACAAACAAGTTTCACAGAATGCTTCTTTCTAGCTTGTAGGGGAAGATATTCCCTTTATCACCATGGGCCTCCAACCGTCCGAAACGTCCACTTCCATATACTACAAAAAGAGCGTTTCAAACCTGCTCTATGAAAGGCAATGTTCAACTCTGTGACTTGAATGCAGACATCACAGAGCAGTTTCTGAGAATGCTTCTTTCTAGATTTTATAGGAAGATATTCCCGTTTCCAACGAAATCTTCACAGCTATCCAAATATCCACTTGCAGATTCTACAAAAAGTGTGTATCAAAACTGCTCTGTCAAAAGGAAGGTTCTTCTCTGTTAGGTGAGTGCATACGTCATAAAGGAGTTTCTGAGAATGTTTCTGACTAGTGGTTATGGGAAGATATTTGCTTTTTCACCGTAGGCCTCAGAGCGCTCCAAATATCCACTTGCACATACTACAAAAAGAGTGCCTCAAAGCTGCTCTCTGAAACGGAATGTTCAACTCTATGAGTTGAATGCAAACATCGCAAAGACGTTTCTGAGAATGCTTCTGTCTAGATTTGATATGAAGATATTCCCGTTTCCAACGAAATCTTCAAATCTATCCAAATGTCCACTTGCAGATTCAACAAAAAGTGTTTTTCAGAACTGCTCTATCAAAAGAAATATCCACCTCTGTTAGCTGAGTTCACACATCACAAACAAGTTTATGAGAATGCTTCTGTCTAGTTTTTATTTGAAGATATTTCCTTTCTAATTATAGACCTGAAAGCTCTCCTAATGTTCACTTCCAGATACTACAGAAAGAGTGTTTCAAAACTGCTGTACGAAAGGGAATGTTCAACTCTGTGTCTTGAATGCACACATCACAAGGAAGTTTCTGAGGATGCTGCTGTCTAATTTTTATACGTAATCCCGTTACCAACGAAATCCTCCAAGCTATCCAAATATCCACTTGCAGATTCCACAGAAAGACTGTTTCAAAACTGCTCTGTCAATAGAAAGGTTCAACTCTGTTAGCTGCGTGCATATATCCCAAAGAAGATTCTGAGATTGCTTCTGTCTAGTTTTTATGGGAAGATATTTCCCTTTTCAGGGTAGGCGTCGAGGCGCTCCAAATGTCCACTTCCAGATACTACAAAAAGAGTGTTTCAAACCTACTCTGTGAAAGGGAATATTCAACTCTGTGACTTGAATGCACATATCACAAAGAAGTTTCTGAGAATGCTTCTGTCGAGATTTTATATGAAGATATTCCCGTTTCCAACGAAATCCTGAAATGTATCCAAATATCCCCTCGCAGATTCTACAAAAAGAGTGTTTCAAAACTACTCTGTAAAAAGAAAGGTTCAACTCTGTTAGTTGAGTACACACATCACAAACAAGTTTCACACAATGCTTCTTTCTAGCTTGTATGGGAAGATATTCCCTTTATCACCATGGGCCTCAAACCGTCCGAAACGTCCACTTCCATATATTACAAAAAGAGTGTTTCAAACCTGCTCTATGAACGGCAATGTTCAACTCTGTGACTTGAATGCAGACATCACAGAGCAGTTTCTGAGAATGCTTCTGTCTAGATTTTATAGGAAGATATTCCCGTTTCCAACGAAATCTTCACAGCAATCCAAATATCCACTTGCAGATTCTACAAAAAGAGTGTATCAAAACTGCTCTGTCAAAAGGAAGGTTCTTCTCTGTTAGGTGAGTGCATACGTCATAAAGGAGTTTCTGAGAATGTTTCTGTCTAGTGGTTATGGGAAGATATTTGCTTTTTCACCTTAGGCCTCAGAGCGCTCCAAATATCCCCTTGCACATACTACAAAAAGAGTGCTTCAAAGCTGCTCTCTGAAAGGGAATGTTCAACTCTATGAGTTGAATGCAAACATCACAAAGACGTTTCTGAGAATGCCTTCTGTCTAGATTTGATATAAAGATATTCCCGTTTCCAACGAAATCTTCAAATCTATCCAAATGTCCACTTGGAGATTCAACAAAAAGTGTTTTTCCGAACTGCTCTATCAAAAGAAAGATCCACCTCTGTTAGCTGAGTTCACACATCACAAACAAGTTTATGAGAATGCTTCTGTCTAGTTTTTATTTGAAGATATTTCCTTTCTCACCATAGACCTGAAAGCTGTCCTAATGTTCACTTCCAGATACTACAGAAAGAGTGTTTCAATACTGCTGTACGAAAGGGAATGTTCAACTCTGTGACTTGAATGCACACATCAAAAGGAGGTTCTGAGGATGCTGCTGTCTACTTTTTATACGTAATCCCGTTTCCAACGAAATCCTCCAAGCTATCCAAATATCCACTTGCAGATTCCACAGAAAGACTGTTTCAAAACTGCTCTGTCAATAGAAAGGTTCAACTCTGTTAGCTGCGTGCATATATCCCAAAGAAGATTCTGAGATTGCTTCTGTCTAGTTTTTATGGGAAGATATTTCCCTTTTCACCGTAGGCGTCAAGGCGCTCCAAATGTCCACTTCCAGATACTACAAAAAGAGTGTTTCAAACCTACTCTGTGAAAGGGAATATTCACCTCTGTGACTTGAATGCACATATCACAAAGAAGTTTCTGAGAATGCTTTCTGTCGAGATTTTATATGAAGATATTCCCGTTTCCAACGAAATCCTGAAATCTATCCAAATATCCCCTCGCAGATTCTACAAAAAGATTGTTTCAAAACTGCTCTGTAAAAAGAAAGGTTCAACTCTGTTAGTTGAGTACACACATCACAAACAAGTTTCACACAATGCTTCTTTCTAGCTTGTAGGGGAAGATATTCCCTTTATCACCATGGGCCTCCAACCGTCCGAAACATCCACTTCCATATACTACAAAAAGAGCGTTTCAAACCTGCTCTATGAAAGGCAATGTTCAACTCTGTGACTTGAATGCAGACATCACAGAGCAGTTTCTGAGAATGCTTTCTGTCTAGATTTTATAGGAAGATATTCCCGTTTCCAAAGAAATCTTCACAGCTATCCAAATATCCACTTGCAGATTCTACAAAAAGAGTGTATCAAAACTGCTCTTTCAAAAGGAAGGTTCTTCTCTGTTAGTTGAGTACATACGTCATAAAGGAGTTTCTGAGAATGTTTCTGTCTAGTGGTTATGGGAAGATATTTTCTTTTTCACCGTAGGCCTCAGAGCGCTCCAAATATCCACTTGCACATACTACAAAAAGAGTGCTTCAAAGCTGCTCTCTGAAACGGAATGTTCAACTCTATGAGTTGAATGCAAACATCACAAAGACGTTTCTGAGAATGCTTCTGTCTAGATTTGATATGAAGATATTCCCGTTTCCAACGAAATCTTCAAATCTATCCAAATGTCCACTTGCAGATTCAACAAAAAGTGTTTTTCGAAACTGCTGTATCAAAAGAAAGATCCACGTCTGTTAGCTGAGTTCACACATCACAAACAAGTTTATGAGAATGCTTCTGTCTAGTTTTTATTTGAAGATATTGCCTTTCTCACCATAGACCTGAAAGCTGTCCTAATGTTCACTTCCAGATACTACAGAAAGAGTGTTTCAAAACTGCTGTACGAAAGGGAATGTTCAACTCTGTGACTTGAATGCACACATCACAAAGAAGTTTCTGAGGATGCTGCTGTCTACTTTTTATACCTAATCCCGTTTCCAACGAAATCCTCCAAGCTATCCAAATATCCACTTGCAGATTCCACAGAAAGACTGTTTCAAAACTGCTCTGTCAATAGAAAGGTTCAACTCTGTTAGTTGCGTGCATATATCCCAAAGAAGATTCTGAGATTGCTTCTGTCTAGTTTTTATGGGAAGATATTTCCCTTTTCACCGTGGGCGTCAAGGCGCTCCAAATGTCCACTTCCGGATACTACAAAAAGAGTGTTTCAAACCTACTCTGTGAAAGGGAATATTCAACTCTGTGACTTGAATGCACATATCACAAGGAAGTTTCTGAGAATGCTTCTGTCGAGATTTTCTATGAAGATATTCCCGTTTCCAACGAAATCCTGAAATCTATCCAAATATCCCCTCGCAGATTCTACAAAAAGAGTGTTTCAAAACTGCTCTGTAAAAAGAAAGGTTCAACTCTATTAGTTGAGTACACACATCACAAACAAGTTTCACAGAATGCTTCTTTCTAGCTTGTAGGGGAAGATATTTCCTTTATCACCATGGGCCTCAAACCATCCGAAACGTCCACTTCCATATACTAAAAAAAGAGTGTTTGAAACCTGCTCTATGAAAGGCAATGTTCAACTCTGTGACTTGAATGCAGACATCACAGAGCAGTTTCTGAGAATGCTTCTGTCCAGACTTTATAGGAAGATATTCCCGTTTCCAAGGAAATCTTCACAGCTATCCAAATATCCACTTGCAGATACTACAAAAAGAATGTATCAAAAATGCTCTGTCAAAAGGAAAGTTCTTCTCTGCTAGTTGAGTACATACGTCATAAAGAAGTTTCTGAGAATGTTTCTGTCTAGTGGTTATGGGAAGATATTTGCTTTTTCACCGTAGGCCTCAGAGCGCTCCAAATATCCACTTGCACATACTACAAAAAGAGTGCCTCAAAGCTGCTCTCTGAAAGGGAATGTTCAACTCTATGAGTTGAATGCAAACATCGCAAAGACGTTTCTGAGAATGCTTCTGTCTAGATTTGATATGAAGATATTCCCGTTTCCAACGAAATCTTCAAATCTATCCAAATGTCCACTTGCAGATTCAACAAAAAGTGTTTTTCAGAACTGCTCTATCAAAAGAAAGATCCACCTATGTTAGCTGAGTTCACACATCACAAACAAGTTTATGAGAATGCTTCTGTCTAGTTTTTATTTGAAGATATTTCCTTTCTCACCATAGACCTGAAAGCTGTCCTAGTGTTCACTTCCAGATACTACAGAAAGAGTGTTTCAAAACTGCTGTACGAAAGGGAATGTTCAACTCTGTGACTTGAATGCACACATCACAAAGAAGTTTCTGAGGATGCTGCTGTCTACTTTTTATACGTAATCCCGTTTCCAACGAAATCCTCCAAGCTATCCAAATGTCCACTTGCAGATTCCACAGAAAGACTGTTTCAAAACTGCTCTGTCAATAGAAAGGTTCAACTCTGTTAGCTGCGTGCATATATCCCAAAGAAGATTCTGAGATTGCTTCTGTCTAGTATTTATGGGAAGATATTTCCCTTTTCACCGTAGGTGTCAAGGTGCTCCAAATGTCCACTTCCAGATACTACAAAAAGAGTGTTTCAAACCTACTCTGTGAAAGGGAATATTCAACTCTGTGACTTGAATGCAGATATCACAAAGAAGTTTCTGAGAATGCTTCTGTCGAGATTTTATATGAAGATATTCCCGTTTCCAACGAAATCCTGAAATCTATCCAAATATCCCCTCGCAGATTCTTCAAAAAGAGTGTTTCAATACTGCTCTGTAAAAAGAAAGGTTCAACTCTGTTAGTTGAGTACACACATCACAAACTAGTTTCACAGAATGCTTCTTTCTAGCTTGTAGGGGAAGATATTCCCTTTATCACCATGGGCCTCAAACCGTCCGAAATGTCCACTTCCATATACTACAAAAAGAGTGTTTCAAACCTGCTCTATGAAAGGCAATGTTCAACTCTGTGACTTGAATGCAGACATCACAGAGCAGTTTCTGAGAATGCTTCTGTCTAGATTTTATAGGAAGATATTCCCGTTTCCAACGAAATCTTCACAGCTATCCAAATATCCACTTGCAGATTCTACAAAAAGAGTGTATCTAAACTGCTCTGTCAAAAGGAAGGTTCTTTTCTGTTAGGTGAGTGCATACGTCATAAAGGAGTTTCTGAGAATGTTTCTGTCTAGTGGTTATGGGAAGATATTTGCTTTTTCACCGTAGGCCTCAGAGCGCTCCAAATATCCACTTGCACATACTACAAAAAGAGTGCCTCAAAGCTGCTCTCTGAAACGGAATGTTCAACTCGATGAGTTGAATGCAAACATCGCAAAGACGTTTCTGAGAATGCTTCTGTCTAGATTTGATATGAAGATATTCCCGTTTCCAACGAAATCTTCAAATCTATCCAAATGTCCACTTGCAGATTCAACAAAAAGTGTTTTTCCGAACTGCTCTATCAAAAGAAAGATCCGCCTCTGTTAGCTGAGTTCACACATCACAAACAAGTTTATGAGAATGCTTTCTATCTAGTTTTTATTTGAAGATATTTCCTTTCTCACCATAGACCTGAAAGCTGTCCTAATGTTCACTTCCAGATACTACAGAAAGAGTGTTTCAAAACTGCTGTACGAAAGGGAATGTTCAACTCTGTGACTTGAATGCACACATCACAAAGAATGATTTCTGAGGATGCTGCTGTCTACTTTTTATACGTAATCCCCTTTGCAACGAAATCCTCCAATCTATCCAAATATCCACTTGCAGATTCCACAGAAAGACAGTTTCAAAACTGCTCTGTCAATAGAAAGGTTCAACTCTGTTAGCTGCGTGCATATATCCCAAAGAAGATTCTGAGATTGCTTCTGTCTAGTTTTTATGGGAAGATATTTCCCTTTTCACCGTAGGCGTCAAGGCGCTCCAAATGTCCACTTCCAGATACTACAAAAAGAGTGTTTCAAACCTACTCTGTGAAAGCGAATATTCAACTCTGTGACTTGAATGCACATATCACAAAGAAGTTTCTGAGAATGCTTCTGTCGAGGTTTTATATGAAGATATTCCCGTTTCCAACGAAATCCTGAAATCTATCCAAATATCCCCTCGCAGATTCTACAGAAAGAGTGTTTCAAAACTGCTCTGTAAAAAGAAAGGTTCAACTCTGTTACTTGAGTACACACATCACAAACAAGTTTCACAGAATGCTTCTTTCTAGCTTGTAGGGGAAGATATTCCCTTTATTACCATGGGCCTCAAACCGTCCGAAAAGTCCACTTCCATATACTACAAAAAGAGCGTTTCAAACCTGCTCTATGAAAGGCAATGTTCAACTCTGTGACTTGAATGCAGACATCACAGAGCAGTTTCTGAGAATGCTTCTGTCTAGATTTTATAGGAAGATATTCCCGTTTCCAACGAAATCTTCACAGCTATCCAAATATCCACTTGCAGATTCTACAAAAAGAGTGTATCAAAACTGCTCTGTCAAAAGGAAGGTTCTTCTCTCTTAGGTGAGTACATACGTCATAAAGGAGTTTCTGAGAATGTTTCTGTCTAGTGGTTATGGGAAGATATTTGCTTTTTCACCGTAGGCCTCAGAGCGCTCCAAATATCCACTTGCACATAGTACAAAAAGAGTGCTTCAAAGCTGCTCTCTGAAAAGGAATGTTCAACTCTATGAGTTGAATGCAAACATCACAAAGACGTTTCTGAGAATGCTTCTGTCTAGATTTGATATGAAGATATTCCCGTTTCCAACGAAATCTTCAAATCTATCGAAATGTCCACTTGCAGATTCAACAAAAAGTGTTTTTCAGAACTGCTCTATCAAAAGAAAGATCCACCTCTGTTAGCTGAGTTCACACATCACAAACAAGTTTATGAGAATGCTTCTGTCTAGTTTTTAGTTGAAGATATTTCCTTTCTCACCATAGACCTGAAAGCTGTCCTAATGTTCACTTCCAGATACTACAGAAAGAGTGTTTCAAAACTGCTGTACGAAAGGGAATGTTCAACTCTGTGACTTGAATGCACACATCACAAAGAAGTTTCTGAGGATGCTGCTGTCTACTTTTTATACGTAATCCCGTTTCCAACGAAATCCTCCAAGCTATCCAAATATCCACTTGCAGATTCCACAGAAAGACTGTTTCAAATCTGCTCAGTCAATAGAAAGGTTCAACTCTGTTTGCTGCGTGCATATATCCCAAAGAAGATTCTGAGATTGCTTCTGTCTAGTTTTTATGGGAAGATATTTCCCTTTTCACCGTAGGTGTCAAGGCGCTCCAAATGTCCACATCCAAATACTACAAAAAGAGTGTTTCAAACCTACTCTGTGAAAGGGAATATTCAACTCTGTGACTTGAATGCACATATCACAAAGAAGTTTCTGAGAATGCTTCTGTCGAGATTTTATATGAAGATATTCCCGTTTCCAACGAAATCCTGAAATGTATCCAAATATCCCCTCGCAGATTCTACAAAAAGAGTGTTTTAAAACTGCTCTGTAAAAAGAAAGGTTCAACTCTGTTAGTTGAGTACACACATCACAAACAAGTTTCACACAATGCTTCTTTCTAGCTTGTAGGGGAAGATATTCCCTTTATCACCATGGGCCTCAAACCGTCCGAAACGTCCACTTCCATATACTACAAAAAGAGAGTTTCAAACCTGCTCTATGAAAGGCAATGTTCAACTCTGTGACTTGAATGCAGACATCACAGAGCAGTTTCTGAGAATGCTTCTGTCTAGATTTTATAGGAAGATATTCCCGTTTCCAACGAAATCTTCACAGCTATCCAAATATCCACTTGCAGATTCTACAAAAAGAGTGTATCAAAACTGCTCTGTCAAAAGGAAGGTTCTTTTCTGTTAGGTGAGTGCATACGTCATAAAGGAGTTTGCTGAGAATGTTTAAGTCTAGTGGTTATGGGAAGATATTTGCCTTTTCACCTTAGGCCTCAGAGCGCTCCAAATATCCACTTGCACATACTACAAAAAGAGTGTTTCAAAGCTGCTCTCTGAAAGGGAATGTTCAACTCTATGAGTTGAATGCAAACATCACAAAGACGTTTCTGAGAATGCTTCTGTCTAGATTTTATATGAAGATATTCCCGTTTCCAACGAAATCTTCAAATCTATCCAAATGTCCACTTGCAGATTCAACAAAAAGTGTTTTTCAGAACTGCTCTATCAAAAGAAAGATCCACCTCTGTTAGATGAGTTCACACATCACAAACAAGTTTATGAGAATGCTTCTTGTCTAGTTTTTATTTGAAGATATTTTCTTTCTCACCATAGACCTGAAAGCTGTCCTAATGTTCACTTCCAGATACTACAGAAAGAGTGTTTCAAAACTGCTGTACAAAAGGGAATGTTCAACTCTGTGACTTGAATGCACACATCACAAAGAAGTTTCTGAGGATGCTGCTGTCTACTTTTTATACGTAATCCCGTTTCCAACGAAATCCTCCAAGCTATCCAAATATCCACTTGCAGATTCCACAGAAAGACTGTTTCAAAACTGCTCTGTCAATAGAAAAGTTCAACTCTGTTAGCTGTGTGCATATATCCCAAAGAAAATTCTGAGATTGCTTCTGTCTAGTTTTTATGGGAAGATATTTCCCTTTTCACAATAGGTGTCAAGGCGCTCCAAATGTCCACTTCCAGATACTACAAAAAGAGTGTTTCAAACCTACTCTGTGAAAGGGAATATTCAACTCTGTGACTTGAATGCAGATATCACAAAGAAGTTTCTGAGAATGCTTCTGTCGAGATTTTATATGAAGATATTCCCGTTTCCAACAAAATCCTGAAATGTATCCAAATATCCCCTCGCAGATTGTACAAAAAGAGTGTTTCAAAACTGCTCTGTAAAAAGAAAGGTTCAACTCTGTTAGTTGAGTACACACATCACAAATAAGTTTCACACAATGCTTCTTTCTAGCTTGTAGGGGAAGATATTTCCTTTATCACCATGGGCCTCAAACCGTCCGAAACGTCCACTTCCATATACTAAAAAAAGAGTGCTTGAAACCTGCTCTATGAAAGGCAATGTTCAACTCTGTGACATGAAAGCAAACATCACAGAGCAGTTTCTGAGAATGCTTCTGTCTAGATTTTATAGGAAGATATTCCCGTTTCCAACGAAATCTTCACAGCTATCCAAATATCCACTTGCATATTCTACAAAAAGAGTGTATCAAAACTGCTCTGTCAAAAGGAAGGTTCTTCTCTGTTAGGTGAGTGCATACGTCATAAAGGAGTTTCTGAGAATGTTTCTGTCTAGTGGTTATGGGAAGATATTTGCTTTTTCCCCGTAGGCCTCAGGGCGCTCCAAATGTCCACTTGCACATGCTACAAAAAGAGTGCCTCAAAGCTGCTCTCTGGAAGGGAATGTTCAACTCTATGAGTTGAATGCAAACATCACAAAGAGGTTTCTGAGAATGCTTCTGTCTAGATTTGATATGAAGATATTCCCGTTTCCAACGAAATCTTCAAATCTATCCAAATGTCCACTTGCAGATTCAACAAAAAGTGTTTTTCAGAACTTCTCTATCAAAAGAAAGATCCACCTCTCTTAGCTGAGTTCACACATCAGAAACAAGTTTATGAGAATGCTTCTGTCTAGTTTTTATTTGAAGATATTTCCTTTCTCACCATAGTACCTGAAAGCTGTCCTAATGTTCACTTCCAGTTACTACAGAAAGAGTGTTTCAAAACTGCTGTACGAAAGGGAATGTTCAACTCTGTGACTTGAATGCACACATCACAAAGAAGTTTCTGAGGATGCTGCTGTCTACTGTTTATACTTAATCCCGTTTCCAACGAAATCCTCCAAGCTATCCAAATATCCACTTGCAGATTCCACAGAAAGACTGTTTCAAAACTGCTCTGTCAATAGAAAGGTTCAACTCTGTTAGCTGCGTGCATATATCCCAAAGAAGATTCTGAGATTGCTTCTGTCTACTTTTTATGAGAAGATATTTCCCTTTTCACCGTAGGCGTCAAGGTGCTCAAAATGTCCACTTCCAGATACTACAAAAAGAGTGTTTCAAACCTACTCTGTGAAAGGGAATATTCAACTCTGTGACTTGAATGCACATATCACAAAGAAGGTTCTGAGAATGCTTCTGTCGAGATTTTATATGAAGATATTCCCGTTTCCAACGAAATCCTGAAATCTATCCAAATATCCCCTCGCAGATTCTACAAAAAGAGTGTTTCAAAGCTGCTCTGTAAAAAGAAAGGTTCAACTCTGTTAGTTGAGTACACACATCACAAACAAGTTTCACAGAATGCTTCTTTCTAGCTTGTAGGGGAAGATATTCCCTTTATCACCATGGGCCTCAAACCGTCCGAAACGTCCACTTCCATATAGTACAAAAAGAGCGTTTCAAACCTGCTCTAGGAAAGGCAATGTTCAACTCTGTGACTTGAATGCAAACATCACAGAGCAGTTTCTGAGAATGCTTCTGTCTAGACTTTATAGGAAGATATTCCCGTTTCCAACGAAATCTTCACAGCTATCCAAATATCCACTTGCAGATTCTACAAAAAGAGTGTATCAAAACTGCTCTGTCAAAAGGAAGGTTCTTTTGCTGTTAGGTGAGTGCATACGTCATAAAGGAGTTTCTGAGAATGTTTTCTGTCTAGTGGTTATGGGAAGATATTTGCTTTTTCCCCGTAAGCCTCAAAGCGCTCCAAATGTCCACTTGAACATACTACAAAAAGAGTGCTTCAAAGCTGCTCTCTGAAAGGGAATGTTCAACTCTATGAGTTGAATGCAAACATCACAAAGACGTTTCTGAGAATGCTTCTGTCTAGACTTGATATGAAGATATTCCCGTTTCCAACGAAATCTTCAAATCTATCCAAATGTCCACTTGCAGATTCAACAAAAAGTGTTTTTCAGAACTGCTCTATCAAAAGAAAGATCCACCTCTGTTAGCTGAGTTCACACATCACAAACAAATTGATGAGAATGCTTCTGTCTACTTTTTATTTGAAGATATTTCCTTTCTCACCATAGACCTGAACGCTGTCCTAATGTTCACTTCCAGATACTACAGAAAGAGTGTTTCAAAACTGCTGTACGAAAGGGAATGTTCAACTCTGTGACTTGAATGCACACATCACAAGGAAGTTTCTCAGGATGCTGCTGTCTATTTTTTATACGTAATCCCGTTTCCAACGAAATCCTCCAAGCTATCCAAATATCCACTTGCAGATTCCACAGAAAGACTGTTTCAAAACTGCTCTGTCAATAGAAAGGTTCAACTCTGTTAGCTGCGTGCATATATCCCAAAGAAGATTCTGAGATTGCTTCTGTCTAGTTTTTATGGGAAGATATTTCCCTTTTCACCGTGGGCGTCAAGGCGCTCCAAATGACCACTTCCAGATACTACAAAAAGAGTGTTTCAAACCTACTCTGTGAAAGGGAATATTCAACTCTGTGACTTGAATGCACATATCACAAGGAAGTTTCTGAGAATGCTTCTGTCAAGATTTTATATGAAGATATTCCCGTTTCCAACGAAATCCTGAAATCTATCCAAATATCCCCTCGCAGATTCTACAAAAAGAGTGTTTCAAAACTGCTCTGTAAAAAGAAAGGTTCAACTCTGTTAGTTGAGTACACACATCACAAACAAGTTTCACAGAATGCTTCTTTCTAGCTTGTAGGGGAAGATATTTCCTTTATCACCATGGTCCTCAAACCGTCCGAAACGTCCACATCCATATACTAAAAAAAGAGTGTTTGAAACCTGCTCTATGAAAGGCAACGTTCAACTCTGTGACTTGAATGCAGACATCACAGAGCAGTTTCAGAGAATGCTTCTGTCTAGATTTTATAGGAAGATATTCCCGTTTCCAACAAAATCTTCACAGCTATCGAAATATCCACTTGCAGATTCTACAAAAAGAGTGTATCAAAACTGCTCTGTCAAAAGGAAGGTTCTTCTCTGTTAGGTGAGTGCATACGTCATAAAGGAGTTTCTGAGAATGTTTTCTGTCTAGTGGTTATGGGAAGATATTTGCTTTTTCACCGTAGGCCCCAGAGCACTCCAAATATCCACTTGCACATACTACAAAAAGAGTGCTTCAAAGCTGCTCTCTGAAACGGAATGTTCAACTCTATGAGTTGAATGCAATCATCACAAAGACGTTTCTGAGAATGCTTCTGTCTAGATTTCATATGAAGGTATTCCTGTTTCCAACGAAATCTTCAAATCTATTCAAATGTCCACTTGCAGATTCAACAAAAAGTGTTTTTTAAAACTGCTGTTTCAAAAGAAAGATCCACCTCTGTTAGCTGAGTTCGCACTTCACAAACAAGTTTATCAGAATGCTCTGTCTAGTTTTTATTTGAAGATATTTCCTTTCTCACCATAGACCTGAAAGCTGTCCTAATGTTCACTTCCAGATACTACAGAAAGAGTGTTTCAAAACTGCTGTACGAAAGGGAATGTTCAACTCTGTGACTTGAATGCACACATCACAAAGAAGTTTCTGAGGATGCTGGCTGTCTACTTTTTATACGTAAACCCGTTTCCAACGAAATCCTCCAATCTATCCAAATATCCACTTGCAGATTCCACAGAAAGACTGTTTCAAATCTGCTCTGTCAATAGAAAGATTCAACTCTCTTAGCTGCGTGCATATATCCCAAAGAAGATTCTGAGATTGCTTCTGTCTAGTTTTTATGGGAAGATATTTCCCTTTTCACCGTAGGCGTCAAGGCGCTCCAAATGTCCACTTCCAGATACTACAAAAAGAATGTTTGAAACCTACTCTGTGAAAGGGAATATTCAACTCTGTGACTTGAATGCAGATATCACAAAGAAGTTTCTGAGAATGCTTCTGTCGAGATTTTATATGAAGATATTCCCCTTTCCAAAGAAATCCTGAAATCTATCCAAATATCCCCTCGCAGATTCTACAAAAAGAGTGTTTCAAAACTGCTCTGTAAAAAGAAAGGTTCAACTCTGTTAGTTGAGTACACACATCACAAACAAGTTTCACAGAATGCTTCTCTTTCTAGCTTGTAGAGGAAGATATTCCCTTTATCACCATGGGCCTCCAACCGTCCGAAACATCCACTTCCATATACTACAAAAAGAGCGTTTCAAACCTGCTCTATGAAAGGCAATGTTCAACTCTGTGACTTGAATGCAGACATCACAGAGCAGTTTCTGAGAATGCTTTCTGTCTAGATTTTATAGGAAGATATTCCCGTTTCCAACGAAATCTTCACAGGTATCCAAATATTCACTTGCAGATTCTACAAAAAGAGTGTATCAAAACTGCTCTGTCAAAAGGAAGGTTCTTCTCTGTTAGGTGAGTGCATACGTCATAAAGGAGTTTCTGAGAATGTTTCTGTCTAGTGGTTATGGGAAGATATTTGCTTTTTCACCGTAGGCCTCAGAGCGCTCCAAATATCCACTTGCACATACTACAAAAAGAGTGCTTCAAAGCTGGTCTCTGAAACGGAATGTTCAACTCTATGAGTTGAATGAAAACATCACAAAGACGTTTCTGAGAATGCTTCTGTCTAGATTTGATATGAAGATATTCCCGTTTCCAACGAAATCTTCATATCTATCCAAATGTCCACTTGCAGATTCAACAAAAAGTGTTTTTCAAAACTGCTGTATCAAAAGAAAGATCCACGACTGTTAGCTGAGTTTACACATCACAAACAAATTTATGAGAATGTTTCTGTCTAGTTTTTATTTGAAGATATTTCCTTTCTCACCATAGACCTGAAAGCTGTCCTAATGTTCACTTCCAGATACTACAGAAACAGTGTTTCAAAACTGCTGTACGAAAGGGAATGTTCAACTCTGTGACTTGAATGCACACCTCACAAATAAGTTTCTGAGGATGCTGCTGTCTACTTTTTATACGTAATCCCGTTTCCAACGAAATCCTCCAATCTATCCAAACATCCACTTGCAGATTCCACAGAAAGACTGTTTCAAAACTGCTCTGTCAATAGAAAGGTTCAACTCTGTTAGCTGCGTGCATATATCCCAAAGAAGATTCTGAGATTGCTTCTGTCTAGTTTTTACGGGAAGATATTTCCCTTTTCACCGTAGGTGTCAAGGCGCTCCAAAGGTCCACTTCCAGATACTACAAAAAGAGTGTTTCAAACCTACTCTGTGAAAGGGAATATTCCACTCTGTGACTTGAATGCAGATATCACAATGAAGTTTCTGAGAATGCTTCTGTCGAGATTTTATATGAAGATATTCCCGTTTCCAACGAAATCCTGAAATCTATCCAAATATCCCCTCGCAGATTCTACAAAAAGAGTGTTTCAAAACTGCTCTGTAAAAAGAAAGGTTCCACTCTGTTAGTTGAGTACACACATCACAAACAAGTTTCACAGAATGCTTCTTTCTAGCTTGTAGGGGAAGATATTTCCTTTATCACCATGGTCCTCAAACCGTCCGAAACGTCCACTTCCATATACTAAAAAAAGAGTGTTTGAAACCTGCTCTATGAAAGGCAATGTTCAACTCTGTGACTTGAATGCAGACATCACAGAGCAGTTTCTGAAAATGCTTCTGTCCAGACTTTATAGGAAGATATTCCCGTTTCCAACGAAATCTTCACAGCTATCCAAATATCCACTTGCAGATACTACAAAAAGAGTGTATCAAAAATGCTCTGTCAAAAGGAAAGTTCTTCTCTGCTAGTTGAGTACATACGTCATAAAGAAGTTTCTGAGAATGTTTCTGTCTAGTGGTTATGGGAAGATATTTGCTTTTTCACCGTAGGCCTCAGAGCGCTCCAAATATCCACTTGCACATACTACAAAAAGAGTGCTTCAAAGCTGCTCTCTGAAACGGAATGTTCAACTCTATGAGTTGAATGCAAACATCACAAAGACGTTACCGCGAATGCTTCTGTCTAGATTTGATATGAAGATATTCCCGTTTCCAACGAAATCTTCAAATCTATCCAAATGTCCACTTGCAGATTCAACAAAAAGTGTTTTTCAGAACTGCTCTATCAAAAGAAAGATCCACCTCTGTTAGCTGAGTTCACACATCACAAACAGGTTTATGAGAATGCTTCTGTCTAGTTTTTATTTGAAGATATTTCCTTTCTCACCATAGACCTGAAAGCTGTCCTAATGTTCACTTCCAGATACTACAGAAAGAGTGTTTCAAAGCTGCTGTACGAAAGGGAATGTTCAAATCTGTGACTTGAATGCACACATCACAAAGAAGTTTCTGAGGATGCTGCTGTCTACTTTTTATACGTAATCCCGTTTCCAACGAAATCCTCTAATCTATCCAAATATCCACTTGCGGATTCCACAGAAAGACTGTTTCAAAACTGCTCTGTCAATAGAAAGGTTCAACTCTGTTAGCTGCGTGCATATATCCCAAAGAAGATTCTGAGATTGCTTCTGTCTAGTTTTTATGGGAAGATATTTCCCTTTTCACCGTAGGCGTCAAGGCGCTCCAAATGTCCACTTCCAGATGCCTCAAAAAGAGTGTTTCAAACCTAATCTGTGAAAGGGAATATTCAACTCTGTAACTTGAATGCACATATCACAAAGAAGTTTCTGAGAATGCTTCTGTCGAGATTTTATATGAAGATATTCCCGTTTCCAACGGAATCCTGAAATCTATCGAAATATCCCCTCGCAGATTCTACAAAAAGAGTGTTTCAAAACTGCTCTGTAAAAAGAAAGTTTCAACTCTGTTAGTTGAGTACACACATCACAAACAAGTTTCACAGAATGCTTCTTTCTAGCTTGTAGGGGAATATATTCCCTTTATCACCATGGGTCTCAAACCGTCCGAAACGTCCACTTCCATATACTACAAAAAGAGCATTTCAAACCTGCTCTATGAAAGGCAATGTTCAACTCTGTGACTTGAATGCAGACATCACAGAGCAGTTTCTGAGAATGCTTCTCTCTAGATTTTATAGGAAGATATTCCCGTTTCCAACGAAATCTTCACAGCTATCCAAATATCCACTTGCAGATTCTACAAAAAGAGTGTATCAAAACTGCTCTGTCAAAAGGAAGGTTCTTCTCTGTTAGGTGAGTGCATACGTTATAAAGGAGTTTCTGAGAATGTTTCTGTCTAGTGGTTATGGGAAGATATTTGCTTTTTCACCCTAGGCCTCAGAGTGCTCCAAATATCCACTTGCACATACTACAAAAAGAGTGCTTCAAAGCTGCTCTCTGAAACGGAATGTTCAACTCTATGTGTTGAATGCAAACATCACAAAGACGTTTCCGAGAATGCTTCTGTCTAGATTTGATATGAAGATATTCCCGTTTCCAACGAAATCTTCAAATCTATCCAAATGTCCACTTGCAGATTAAACAAAAAGTGTTTTTCAGAACTGCTCTATCAAAAGAAAGATCCACCTCTGTTAGCTGAGTTCACACATCACAAACAAGTTTATGAGAATGCTTCTGTCTAGTTTTTATTTGAAGATATTTCCTTTCTCACCATAGAGCTGAAAGCTGTCCTAATGTTCACTTCCAGATACTACAGAAAGAGTGTTTCAAAACTGCTGTACGAAAGGGAATGTTCAACACTGTGACTTGAATGCACACATCACAAAGAAGTTTCTGAGGATGCTGCAGTCTACTTTTTATACGTAATCCCGTTTCCAACGAAATCCTCCAATCTATCCAAATATCCACTTGCAGATTCCACAGAAAGACTGTTTCAAAACTGCTCTGTCAATAGAAAGGTTCAACTCTGTTAGCTGCGTGCATATATCCCAAAGAAGATTCTAAGATTGCTTCTGTCTAGTTTTTATGGGAAGATATTCCCTTTTCACCGTAGGCGTCAAGGCGCTCCAAATGTCCACTTCCAGATACTACAAAAAGAGTGTTTCAAACCTACTCTGTGAAAGGGAATATTCAACTCTGTGACTTGAATGCACATATCACAAAGAAGTTTCTGAGAATGCTTCTGTCGAGATTTTATATGAAGATATTCCCGTTTCCAAAGAAATCCTGAAATCTATCCAAATATCCCCTCGCAGATTCTACAAAAAGAGTGTTTCAAAACTGCTCTGTGAAAAGAAAGGTTCAACTCTGTTAGTTGAGTACACACATCACAAACAAGTTTCACAGAATGCTTCTTTCTAGCTTGTAGGGGAAGATATTCCCTTTATCACCCTGGGCCTCCAACCGTCCGAAACGTCCACTTCCATATACTACAAAAAGAGCGTTTCAAACCTGCTCTAGGAAAGGCAATGTTCAACTCTGTGACTTCAATGCAGACATCACAGAGCAGTTTCTGAGAATGCTTCTGTCTAGATTTTATAGGAAGATATTCCCGTTTCCAACGAAATATTCACAGCTATCCAGATATCCACTTGCAGATTCTACAAAAAGAGTGCATCAAAACTGCTCTGTCAAAAGGAAGGTTCTTCTCTGTTAGGTGAGTGCATACGTCATAAAGGAGTTTCTGAGAATGTTTCTGTCTAGTGGTTATGGAAAGATATTTGCTTTTTCACCGTAGGCCTCAGAGCGCTCCAAATATCCACTTGCACATACTACAAAAAGAGTGCCTCAAAGCTGCTTTCTGAAACGGAATGTTCAACTCTATGAGTTGAATGCAAACAACGCAAAGACGTTTCTGAGAATGCTTCTGTCTAGATTTGATATGAAGATATTCCCGTTTCCAACGAAATCTTCAAATCTATCCAAATGTCCACTTGCAGATTCAACAAAAAGTGTTTTTCAGAACTGCTCTATCAAAAGAAAGATCCACCTCTGTTAGCTGAGTTCACACATCACAAAAAGGTTTATGAGAATGCTTCTGTCTAGTTTTTATTTGAAGATATTCCCTTTCTCAACATAGACCTGAAAGCTGTCCTAATGTTCACTTCCAGATACTACAGAAAGAGCGTTTCAAAACTGCTGTACGAAAGGGAATGTTCAACTCTGTGACTTGAATGCACACATCACAAAGAAGTTTCTGAGGATGCTGCTGTCTACTTTTTATACGTAATCCCGTTTCCAACGAAATACTCCAAGCTATCCAAATATCCACTTGGAGATTCCACAGAAAGACTGTTTCAAAACTACTCTGTCAATAGAAAGGTTCAACTCTGTTAGCTGCGTGCATATATCCCAAAGAAGATTCTGAGATTGCTTCTGTCTAGTTTTTATGGAAAGATATTTCCCTTTTCACCGTAGGTGTCAAGGCGCTCCAAATGTCCACTTCCAGATACTACAAAAAGAGTGTTTCAAACCTACTCTGTGAAAGGGAATATTCAACTCTGTGACTTGAATGCAGATATCACAAAGAAGTTTCTGAGAATGCTTCTGTCGAGATTTTATATGAAGATATTCCCGTTTCCAACGAAATGCTGAAATGTATCCAAATATCCCCTCGCAGATTCTACAAAAAGAGTGTTTCAAAACTGTTCTGTAAAAAGAAAGGTTCAACTCTGTTAGTTGAGTACACACATCACAAACAAGTTTCACAGAATGCTTCTTTCTAGCTTGTAGGGGAAGATATTCTCTTTATCACCATGGGCCTCCAACCGTCCGAAACATCCACTTCCATATACTACAAAAAGAGCGTTTCAAACCTGCTCTATGAAAGGCAATGTTCAACTCTGTGACTTGAAAGCAGACATCACAGAGCAGTTTCTGAGAATGCTTCTGTCTAGATTTTATAGGAAGATATTCCCGTTTCCAACGGAATCTTCACAGCTATCCAAATATCCACTTGCAGATTCTACAAAAAGTGTGTATCAAAACTGCTCTGTCAAAAGGAAGGTTCTTTTCTGTTAGGTGAGTGCATACGTCATAAAGGAGTTTCTGAGAATGTTTCTGTCTAGTGGTTATGGGAAGATATTTGCTTTTTCACCGTAGGCCTCAGAGCGCTCCAAATATCCACTTGCACATACTACAAAAAGAGTGCCTCAAAGCTGCTCTCTGAAACGGAATGTTCAACTCTATGAGTTGAATGCAAACATCACAAAGACGTTTCTGACAATGCTTCTGTCTAGATTTGATATGAAGGTATTCCCGTTTGCAACGAAATCTTCAAATCTATCCAAATGTCCACTTGCAGATTCAACAAAAAGTGTTTTTCAGAACTGCTCTATCAAAAGAAAGATCCACCTCTGTTAGCTGAGTTCACACATCACAAACAAGTTTATGAGAATGCTTCTGTCTAGTTTTTATTTGAAGATATTTCCTTTCTCACCATAGTACCTGAAAGCTGTCCTAATGTTCAATTCCAGATACTACAGAAAGAGTGTTTCAAAACTACTGTACGAAAGGGAATGTTCAACTCTGTGACTTGAATGCACACATCACAAAGAAGTTTCTGAGGATGCTGCTGTCTACTTTTTATACGTAATCCCGTTTCCAACGAAATCCTCCAAGCTATCCAAATATTCACTTGCAGATTCCACAGAAAGACTGTTTCAAAACTGCTCTGTCAATAGAAAGGTTCAACTCTGTTAGCTGCGTGCATATATCCCAAAGAAGTTTCTGAGATTACTTTCTGTCTAGTTTTTATGGGAAGATATTTCCCTTTTCACCGTAGGTGTCAAGGCGCTCCAAATGTCCACTTCCAGATACTACAAAAAGAGTGTTTCAAGCCTACTCTGTGAAAGGGAATATTCAACTCTGTGACTTGAATGCACATATCACAAAGAAGTTTCTGAGAATGCTTCTGTCGAGTATTTTATATGAAGATATTCCCGTTTCCAACGAAATCCTGAAATCTATCCAAATATCCCCTCGCAGATTCTACAAAAAGAGTGTTTCAAAACTGCTCTGTAAAAAGAAAGGTTCAACTCTGTTAGTTGAGTACACACATCACAAACAAGTTTCACAGAATGCTTCTTTCTAGCTTGTAGGGGAAGATATTCCCATTATCACCATGGGCCTCAAACCGTCCGAAACGTCTACTTCCATATACTACAAAAAGAGCGTTTCAAACCTGCTCTATGAAAGGCAATGTTCAACTCTGTGACTTGAATGCAGACGTCACAGAGCAGTTTCTGAGAATGCTTCTGTCCAGACTTTATAGGAAGATATTCCCGTATCCAACGAAATCTTCACAGCTATCCAAATATCCACTTGCAGATAGTACAAAAAGAGTGTATCAAAAATGCTCTGTCAAAAGGAAAGTTCTTCTCTGCTAGTTGAGTACATACGTCATAAAGAAGTTTCTGAGAATGTTTCTGTCTAGTGGTTATGGGAAGATATTTGCTTTTTCACCGTAGGCCTCAGAGCGCTCCAAATATCCACTTGCACATACTACAAAAAGAGTGCCTCAAAGCTGCTCTCTGAAACGGAATGTTTAACTCTATGAGTTGAATGCAAACATCGCAAAGACGTTTCTGAGAATGCTTCTGTCTAGATTTGATATGAAGATATTCCCGTTTCCAAAGAAATCTTCAAATCTATCCAAATGTCCACTTGCAGATTCAACAAAAAGTGTTTTTCAGAACTGCTCTATCAAAAGAAAGATCCACCTCTGTTAGCTGAGTTCACACATCACAAACAAGCTTATGAGAATGCTTCTGTCTAGTTTTTATTTGAAGATATTTCCTTTCTCACCATAGACATGAAAGCTGTCCTAATGTTCACTTCCAGATACTACAGAAAGAGCATTTCAAAACTGCTGTACGAAAGAGAATGTTCAACTCTGTGACTTGAATGCACACATCACAAAGAAGTTTCTGAGGATGCTGCTGTCTACTTTTTATACGTAATCCCGTTTCCAACGAAATCCTCCAATCTATCCAAATATCCACTTGCAGATTCCACAGAAAGACTGTTTCAAAACTGGTCTGTCAATAGAAAGGTTCAACTCTGTTAGCTGCGTGCATATATCCCAAAGGAGATTCTGAGATTGCTTCTGTCTAGTATTTATGGGAAGATATTTCCCTTTTCACCGTAGGTGTCAAGGCGCTCCAAATGTCCACTTCCAGATACTACAAAAAGAGTGTTTCAAACCTACTCTGTGAAAGGGAATATTCAACTCTGTGACTTGAATGCACATATCACAAAGAAGTTTCTGAGAATGCTTCTGTCGAGATTTTATATGAAGATATTCCCGTTTCCAACGAAATCCTGAAATCTATCCAAATATCCCCTCGCAGATTCTACAAAAAGAGTGTTTCAAAACTGCTCTGTAAAAAGAAAGGTTCAACTCTGTTAGTTGAGTACACACATCACAAACAAGTTTCACAGAGTGCTTCTTTCTAGCTTGTAGGGGAAGATATTCCCTTTATCACCATGGGCCTCAAACCGTCCGAAACGTCCACTTCCATATACTACAAAAAGAGCGTTTCAAACCTGCTCTATGAAAGGCAATGTTCAACTCTAGTGACTTGAATGCAGACATCACAGAGCAGTTTCTGAGAATGCTTCTGTCTAGATTTTATAGGAAGATATTCCAGTTTCCAACGAAATCTTCACAGCTATCCAAATATCCACTTGCAGATTCTACAAAAAGAGTGTATCAAAACTGCTCTATCAAAAGGAAGGTTCTTCTCTGTTAGTTGAGTACATACGTCATAAAGGAGTTTCTGAGAATGTTTCTGTCTAGTGGTTATGGGAAGATATTTGCTTTTTCACCTTAGGCCTCAGAGCGCTCCAAATATCCCCTTGCACATACTACAAAAAGAGTGCTTCAAAGCTGCTCTCTGAAAGGGAATTTTCAACTCTATGAGTTGAATGCAAACATCACAAAGACGTTTCTGAGAATGCTTCTATCTAGATTTGATATGAAGATATTCCCGTTTCCAACGAAATCTTCAAATCTATCCAAATGTCCACTTGCAGATTCAACAAAAAGTGTTTTTCAGAACTGCTCTATCAAAAGAAAGATCCACCTCTGTTAGCTGAGTTCACACATCACAAACAAGTTTATGAGAATGCTTCTGTCTAGTTTTTATTTGAAGATATTTCCTTTCTCACCATAGACCTGAATGCTGTCCTAATGTTCACTTCCAGATACTACAGAAAGAGTGTTTCAAAACTGCTGTACGAAAGGGAATGTTCAACTCTGTGACTTGAATGCACACATCACAAAGAAGTTTCTGAGGATGCTGCTGTCTACTTTTTATACGTAATCCCGTTTCCAACGAAATCCTCCAAGCTATCCAAATATCCACTTGCAGATTCCACAGAAAGACTGTTTCAAAACTGCTCTGTCAATAGAAAGGTTCAACTCTGTTAGCTGCGTACATATATCCCAAAGAAGATTCTGAGATTGCTTCTGTCTACTTTTTATGAGAAGATATTTCCCTTTTCACCGTAGGTGTCAAGGTGCTCCAAATGTCCACTTCCAGATACTAGAAAAAGAGTGTTTCAAACCTACTCTGTGAAAGGGAATATTCAACTCTGTGACTTGAATGCACATATCACAAAGAAGTTTCTGAGAATGCTTCTGTCGAGATTTTATATGAAGATATTCCCGTTTCCAACGAAATGCTGAAATGTATCCAAATATCCCCTCGCAGATTCTACAAAAAGAGTGTTTCAAAACTGCTCTGTAAAAACAAAGGTTCAACTCTGTTAGTTGAGTACACACATCACAAACAAGTTTCACAGAATGCTTCTTTCTAGCTTGTAGGGGAAGATATTCCCTTTATCACCAAGGGCCTCAAACCGTCCGAAACGTCCACTTCCATATACTACAAAAAGAGCGTTTCAAACCTGCTCTAGGAAAGGCAATGTTCAACTCTGTGACTTGAATGCAGACATCACAGAGCAGTTTCTGAGAATGCTTCTGTATAGATTTTATAGGAAGATATTCCCGTTTCCAACGAAATCTTCACAGCTATCCAAATATCCACTTGCAGATTCTACAAAAAGAGTGTATCAAAACTGCTCTGTCAAAAGGAAGGTTCTTCTCTGTTAGGTGAGTGCATACGTCATAAGGGAGTTTCTGAGAATGTTTCTGTCTAGTGGTTATGGGAAGATATTTGCTTTTTCACCGTAGGCCACAGAGCGATCAAAATATCCACTTGCACATACTACAAAAAGAGTGCTTCAAAGCTGCTCTCTGAAAGTGAATGTTCAACTCTATGAGTTGAATGCAAACATCACAAAGACGTTTCCTGAGAATGCTTCTGTCTAGATTTGATATGAAGATATTCCCGTTTCCAACGAAATCTTCAAATCTATCCAAATGTCCACTTGCAGATTCAACAAAACGTGTTTTTCAGAACTGCTCAATCAAAAGAAAGATCCACCTGTGTTAGCTGAGTTCACACATCACAAACAAGTTTATGAGAATGCTTCTGTCTAGTTTTTATGGGAAGATATTTCCCTTTTCACCGTAGGTGTCAAGGCGCTCCAAATGTCCACTTCCAGATAGTACAAAAAGAGTGTTTCAAACCAACTCTGTGAAAGGGAATATTCAACTCTGTGACTTGAATGCACACATCACAAAGAAGTTTCTGAGGATGCTGCTGTCTACTTTTTATACGTAATCCCGTTTCCAACGAAATCCTCCAAGCTATCCAAATATCCACTTGCAGATTCCACAGAAAGACTGTTTCAAAACTGCTCTGTCAATAGAAAGGTTCAACTCTGTTAGCTGCATGCATATATCCCAAAGAAGATGCTGAGATTGCTTCTGTCTAGTTTTTATGGGAAGATATTTCCCTTTTCACCGTAGGCGTCAAGGCGCTCCAAATGTCCACTTCCAGATACTACAAAAAGAGTGTTTCAAACCTACTCTATGAAAGGGAATATTCAACTCTGTGACTTGAATGCACATATCACAAAGAAGTTTCTGAGAATGCTTCTGTCGAGTATTTTATATGAAGATATTCCCGTTTCCAACGAAATCCTGAAATGTATCCAAATATCCCCTTGCAGATTCTACAAAAAGAGTGTTTCAAAACTGCTCTGTAAAAAGAAAGGTTCAACTCTGTTAGTTGAGTACACACATCACAAACAAGTTTCACACAATGCTTCTTTCTAGCTTGTAGGGGAAGATATTCCCTTTATCACCATGGGCCTCAAACCGTCCGAAACGTCCACTTCCATATACTACCAAAAGAGCGTTTCAAACCTGCTCTAGGAAAGGCAATGTTCAACTCTGTGACTTGAATGCGGACATCAGAGAGCAGTTTCTGAGAATGCTTCTGTCTAGATTTTATAGGAAGATATTCCCGTTTCCAACGAAATCTTCACAGCTATCCAAATATCCACTTGCAGATTCTACAAAAAGAGTGTATCAAAACTGCTCTGTCAAAAGGAAGGTTCTTCTCTGTTAGGTGAGTGCATACGTCATAAAGGAGTTTCTGAGAATGGTTCTGTCTAGTGGTTATGGGAAGATATTTGCTTTTTCACCGTAGGCCTCAGAGCGCTCCAAATATCCACTTGCACATACTACAAAAAGAGTGCTTCACAGCTGCTCTCTGAAAGGGAATGTTCAACTCTATGAGTTGAATGCAAACATCACAAAGACGTTTCTGAGAATGCTTCTGTCTAGATTTTATATGAAGATATTCCCGTTTCCAAAGAAATCTTCAAATCTATCCAAATATCCACTTGGAGATTCTACAAAAAGTGTTTTTCAAAATTGCTGTATCAAAAGAAAGATCCACCTTTGTTTGTTGAGTTCACACAACACAAACAAGTTTGTGAGAATGCTTCTGTCTTGTTTTTATTTGAAGATATTTCCTTTCTCACCATAGTCCTGAAAGCTCTCGAAATGTTCACTTCCAGGTACTACAAAAAGAGTGTTTCAAACTTTCTATGTGAAAGGGAATATTGAACTCTGTGACTTCAATGCAGATATCACAAAATCTTTCTGAGAATTCTGCTGTCTACTTTTTATACGTAATCCCGTTTCCAACGAAATCCTCCAAGCTATCCAAATATCCACTTGCAGATTCCACAGAAAGACTGTTTCAAAACTGCTCTGTCAATAGAAAGGTTCAACTCTGTTAGCTGCGTGCATATATCCCAAAGAGGATTCTGAGATTGCTTCTGTCTAGTTTTTATGGGAAGATATTTCCCTTTTCACCGTAGGCGTCAAGGCGCTCCAAATGTCCACTTCCAGATACTACAAAAAGAGTGTTTCAAACCTACTCTGTGAAAGGGAATATTCACCTCTGTGACTTGAATGCACATATCACAAAGAAGTTTCTGAGAATGCTTCTGTCGAGATTTTATATGAAGATATTCCCGTTTCCAACGAAATCCTGAAATCTATCCAAATATCCTCTCGCAGATTCTACAAAAAGAGTGTTTCAAAACTGCTCTGTAAAAAGAAAGGTTCAACTCTGTTAGTTGAGTACACACATCACAAACAACTTTCACAGAATGCTTCTTTCTAGCTTGTAGGGGAAGATATTCCCTTTATCACCATGGGCCTCCAACCGTCCGAAACGTCCACTTCCATATACTACAAAAAGAGAGTTTCAAACCTGCTCTATGAAAGGCAATGTTCAACTCTGTGACTTGAATGCAGACATCACAGAGCAGTTTCTGAGAATGCTTCTGTCCAGACTTTATAGGAAGATATTCCCGATTCCAACGAAATCTTCACAGCTATCCAAATATCCACTTGCAGATACTACAAAAAGAGTGTATCAAAAGTGCTCTGTCAAAAGGAAAGTTCTTCTCTGCTAGTTGAGTACATACGTCATAAAGAAGTTTCTGAGAATGTTTCTGTCTAGTGGTTATGGGAAGATATTTGCTTTTCCCCGTAGGCCTCAGAGCGCTCCAAATATCCACTTGCACATACTACAAAAAGAGTGCTTCAAAGCTGCTCTCTGAAAGGGAATGTTCAACTCTATGAGTTGAATGCAAACATCACAAAGACGTTTCTGAGAATGCTTCTGTGTAGATTTGATATGAAGATATTCCCGTTTCCAACGAAATCTTCAAATCTATCCAAATGTCCACTTGCAGATTCAACAAAAAGTGTTTTTCAGAACTGCTCTATCAAAAGAAAGATCCACCTCTGTTAGCTGAGTTCACACATCACAAACAAGTTTATGAGAATGCTTCTGTCTAGTTTTTATTTGAAGATATTTCCTTTCTCACCATAGACCTGAAAGCTGTCCTAATGTTCACTTCCAGATACTACAGGAAGAGTGTTTCAAAACTGCTGTACGAAAGGGAATGTTCAACTCTGTGACTTGAATGCACACATCACAAAGAAGTTTCTGAGGATGCTGCTGTCTACTTTTTATACGTAATCCCGTTTCCAACGAAATCCTCCAAGCTATCCAAATATCCACTTGCAGATTCCACAGAAAGACTGTTTCAAAACTACTCTGTCCATAGAAAGGTTCAACTCTGTTAGCTGCGTGCATATATCCCAAAGAAGATTCTGAGATTGCTTCTGTCTACTTTTTATGAGAAGATATTTCCCTTTTCACCGTAGGCGTCAAGGCGCTCCAAATGTCCACTTCCAGATACTACAAAAAGAGTGTTTCAAACCTACTCTGTGAAAGGGAATATTGAACTCTGTGACTTGAATGCACATATCACAAAGAAGTTTCTGAGAATGCTTCTGTCGAGATTTTATATGAAGATATTCCCGTTTCCCACGAAATCCTGAAATCTATCCAAATATCCCATCGCAGATTCTACAAAAAGAGTGTTTCAAAACTGCCCTGTGAAAAGAAAGGTTCAACTCTGTTAGTTGAGTACACACATCACAAACAAGTTTCACAGAATGCTTCTTTCTCGCTTCTAGGGGAAGATATTTCCTTTATCACCATGGGCCTCAAACCGTTCGAAACATCCACTTCCATATACTACAAAAAGAGCGTTTCAAACCTGCTCTATGAAAGGCAATGTTCAACTCTGTGACTTGAATGCAGACATCACAAAGCAGTTTCTGAGAATGCTTCTGTCTAGATTTTATAGGAAGATATTCCCGTTTCCAACGAAATCTTCACAGATATCCAAATATCCACTTGCAGATGCTACAAAAAGAGTGTATCAAAAATGCTCTGTCAAAAGGAAGGTTCTTCTCTGTTAGGTGAGTGCATACGTCATAAAGGAGTTTCTGAGAATGTTTCTGTCTAGTGGTTATGGGAAGATATTTGCTTTTTCACCTTAGGCCTCAGAGCGCTCCAAATATCCCCTTGCACATACTACAAAAAGAGTGCTTCAAAGCTGCTCTCTGAAAGGGAATGTTCAACTCTATGAGTTGAATGCAAACATCACAAAGACGTTTCCTGAGAATGCTTCTGTCTAGATTTGCTATGAAGATATTCCCGTTTCCAACGAAATCTTCAAATCTATCCAAATGTCCACTTGCAGATTCAACAAAAAGTGTTTTTCAGAACTGCTCTATCAAAAGAAAGATCCACCTCTGTTAGCTGAGTTCAGACATCACAAACAAGTTTATGAGAATGCTTCTGTCTAGTTTTTATTTGAAGATATTTCCTTTCTCAACATAGACCTGAAAGCTGTCCTAATGTTCACTTCCAGATACTACAGAAAGAGCGTTTCAAAACTGCTGTACGAAAGGGAATGTTCAACTCTGTGACTTGAATGCACACATCACAAAGAAGTTTCTGAGGATGCTGCTGTCTACTTTTTATACGTAATCCCGTTTCCAACGAAATCCTCCAAGCTATCCAAATATCCACTTGCAGATTCCACAGAAAGACTGTTTCAAAACTGCTCTGTCAATAGAAAGGTTCAACTCTGTTAGCTGCGTGCATATATCTCAAAGAAGATTCTGAGATTGCTTCTGTCTAGTTTTTATGGGAAGATATTTCCCTTTTCACCGTAGGCGTCAAGGCGCTCCAAATGTCCACTTCCAGATACCACAAAAAGAGTGTTTCAAACCTACTCTGTGGAAGGGAATATTCAACTCTGTGACTTGAATGCAGATATCACAAAGAAGTTTCTGAGAATGCTTCTGTCGAGATTTTATATGAAGATATTCCCGGTTTCCAACGAAATCCTGAAATGTATCCAAATATCCCCTCGCAGATTCTACAAAAAGAGTGTTTCAAAACTGCTCTGTAAAAAGAAAGGTTCAACTCTGTTAGTTGAGTACACACATCACAAACAAGTTTCACACAATGCTTCTTTCTAGCTTGTAGGGGAAGATATTCCCTTTATCACCATGGGCCTCCAACCGTCCGAAAAGTCCACTTCCATATACTACAAAAAGAGCGTTTCAAACCTGCTCTATGAAAGGCAATGTTCAACTCTGTGACTTGAATGCAGACATCACAGAGCAGTTTCTGAGAATGCTTCTGTCTAGATTTTATAGGAAGATATTCCCGTTTCCAACGAAATCTTCACAGCTATCCAAATATCCACTTGTAGATTCTACAAAAAGAGTGTATCAAAACTGCTCTGTCAAAAGGAAGGTTCTTTTCTGTTAGGTGAGTGCATACGTCATAAAGGAGTTTCTGAGAATGTTTCTGTTAGTGGTTATGGGAAGATATTTGCTTTTTCACCGTAGGCCTCAGAGCGCTCCAAATATCCACTTGCACATACTACAAAAAGAGTGCTTCAAAGCTGCTCTCTGAAACGGAATGTTCAACTCTATGAGTTGAATGCAAACATCGCAAAGACGTTTCTGAGAATGCTTCTGTCTAGATTTGATATGAAGATATTCCCGTTTCCAACGAAATCTTCAAATCTATCCAAATGTCCACTTGCAGATTCAACAAAAAGTGTTTTTCAGAACTGCTCTATCAAAAGAAAGATCCACCTCTGTTAGCTGAGTTCACACATCCAAACAAGTTTATGAGAATGCTTCTGTCTAGTTTTTATTTGAAGATATTTCCTTTCTCACCATAGAGCTGAAAGCTGTCCTAATGTTCACTTCCAGATACTACAGAAAGAGTGTTTCAAAACTGCTGTACGAAAGGGAAATGTTCAACTCTGTGACTTGAATGCACACATCACAAAGAAGTTTCTGAGGATGCTGCTGTCTACTTTTTATACGTAATCCCGTTTCCAAGGAAATCCTCCAAGCTATCCAAATATCCACTTGCAGATTCCACAGAAAGACTGTTTCAAAACTGCTCTGTCAATAGAAAGGTTCAACTCTGTTAGTTGCGTGCATATATCCCAAGGTAAGATTCTGAGATTGCTTCTGTCTTGTTTTTATGGGAAGATATTTCCCTTTTCACCGTAGGTGTCAAGGCGCTCCAAATGTCCACTTCCAGATACTACAGAAAGAGTGTTTCAAACCTACTCTGTGAAAGGGAATATTCAACTCTGTGACTTGAAGGCAGATATCACAAAGAAGTTTCTGAGAATGCTTCTGTCGAGATTTTATATGAAGATATTCCCCTTTCCAACGAAATCCTGAAATCTATCCAAATATCCCCTCGCAGATTCTACAAAAAGAGTGTTTCAAAACTGCTCTGTAAAAAGAAAGGTTCAACTCTGTTAGTTGAGTACACACATCACAAACAAGTTTCAGAGAATGCTTCTTTCTAGCTTGTAGGGGAAGATATTCCCTTTATCACTATGGGCCTCAAACCATCCGAAACGTCCACTTCCATATACTACAAAAAGAGCGTTTCAAACCTGCTCTAGGAAAGGCAGTGTTCAACTCTGTGACTTGAATGCAGACATCACAGAGCAGTTTCTGAGAATGCTTCTGTCTAGATTTTATAGGAAGATATTCCCGTTTCCAACGAAATCTTCACAGCTATCCAAATATCCACTTGCAGATTCTGCAAAAAGAGTGTATCAAAACTGCTCAGTCAAAAGGAAGGTTCTTCTCTGTTAGGTGAGTGCATACGTCATAAAGGAGTTTCTGAGAATGTTCCTGTCTAGTGGTTATGGGAAGATATTTGCTTTTTCCCTGTAGGCCTCAAAGCGCTCCAAATGTCCACTTGCACATACTACAAAAAGAGTGCTTCAAAGCTGCTCTCTGAAAGGGAATGTTCAACTCTATGAGTTGAATGCTAACATCACAAAGACGTTTCTGAGAATGCTTCTGTCTAGATTTAATATGAAGATATTCCCGTTTCCAACGAAATCTTCAAATCTATCCAAATGTCCACTTGCAGATTCAACAAAAAGTGTTTTTCAGAACTGCTCTATCAAAAGAAAGATCCACCTCTGTTAGCTGAGTTCACACATCACAAACAAGTTTATGAGAATGCTTCTGTCTAGTTTTTATTTGAAGATATTTCCTTTCTCACCATAGACCTGAAAGCTGTCCTAATGTTCACTTCCAGATACTACAGAAAGAGTGTTTCAAAACTACTGTACGAAAGGGAATGTTCAACTCTGTGACTTGAATGCACACATCACAAAGAAGTTTCTGAGGATGCTGCTGTCTACTTTTTATACGTAATCCCGTTTCCAACGAAATCCTCCAAGCTATCCAAATATCCACTTGCAGATTCCACAGAAAGACTGTTTCAAAACTGCTCTGTCAATAGAAAGGTTCAACTCTGTTAGCTGCGTGCATATATCCCAAAGTAGATTCTGAGATTGCTTCTGTCTAGTTTTTATGGGAAGATATTTCCCTTTTCACCGTAGGTGTCAAGGCCCTCCAAATGTCCACTTCCAGATACTACAAAAAGAGTGTTTCAAACCTACTCTGTGAAAGGGAATATTCAACTCTGTGACTTGAATGCACATATCACAAAGAAGTTTCTGAGAATGCTTCTGTCGAGATTTTATATGAAGATATTCCCGTTTCCAACGAAATCCAGGAATGTATCCAAATATCCCCTCGCAGATTCTACAAAAAGAGTGTTTCAAAACTGCTCTGTAAAAAGAAAGGTTCAACTCTGTTAGTTGAGTGCACACATCACAAACAAGTTTCACAGAATGCTTCTTTCTAGCTTGTAGGGGAAGATATTCCCTTTATCACCATGGGCCTCAAACCGTCCGAAACGTCCACTTCCATATACTACAAAAAGAGCGTTTCAAACCTGCTCTATGAAAGGCAATGTTCAACTCTGTGACTTGAATACAGACGTCGCAGAGCAGTTCCTGAGAATGCTTCTGTCTAGATTTTATAGGAAGATATTCCCGTTTCCAACGAAATCTTCACAGGTATCCAAATATCCACTTGCAGATTCTACAAAAAGAGTGTATCAAAACTGCTCTGTCAAAAGGAAGGTTCTTCTGTGTTACGTGAGTGCATACGTCATAAAGGAGTTTCTGAGAATGTTTCTGTCTAGTGGTTATGGGAAGATATTTGCTTTTTCACCGTAGGCCTCAGAGCGCTCCAAATATCCACTTGCACATACTACAAAAAGAGTGCTTCAAAGCTGTTCTCTGTAACGGAATGTTCAACTCTATGAGTTGAATGCAAACATCACAAAGACGTTTCTGAGAATGCTTCTGTCTAGACTTGATATGAAGATATTCCCGTTTCCTACGAAATCTTCAAATCTATCCAAATGTCCACTTGCAGATTCAACAAAAAGTGTTTTTCAGAACTTCTCTATCAAAAGAAAGATCCACCTCTGTTAGCTGAGTTCACACATCACAAACAAGTTTATGAGAATGCTTCTGTCTAGTTTTTATTTGAAGATATTTCCTTTCTCACCATAGACCTGAAAGCTGTCCTAATGTTCACTTCCAGATACTACAGAAAGAGTGTTTCAAAACTGCTGTACGAAAGGGAATGTTCAACACTGTGACTTGAATGCACACATCACAAAGAAGTTTACTGAGGATGCTGCTGTCTACTTATTATACGTAATCCCGTTTCCAACGAAATCCTCCAAGCTATCCAAATATCCACTTGCAGATTCCACAGAAAGGCTGTTTCAAAACTGCTCTGTCAATAGAAAGGTTCAACTCTGTTAGCTGCGTGCATATATCCCAAAGAAGATTCTGAGATTGCTTCTGTCTAGTTTTTATGGGAAGATATTTCCCTTTTCACCGTAGGTGTCAAGGTGCTCAAAATGTCCACTTCCAGATACTACAAGAAGAGTGTTTCAAACCTACTCTGTGAAAGGCAATATTCAACTCTGTGACTTGAATGCAGATATCACAAAGAAGTTTCTGAGAATGCTTCTGTCGAGTATTTTATATGAAGATATTCCCGTTTCCAACGAAATCCTGTAATCTATCCAAATATCCCCTCGCAGATTCTACAAAAAGAGTGTTTCAAAACTGCTCTGTAAAAAGAAAGGTTCAACTCTGTTAGTTGAGTACACACCTCACAAACAAGTTTCACAGAATGCTTCTTTCTAGCTTGTAGGGGAAGATATTCCCTTTATCACCATGGGCCTCAAACCGTCCGAAACGTCCACTTCCATATACTACAAAAAGAGCGTTTCAAACCTGCTCTAGGAAAGGCAATGTTCAACTCTGTGACTTGAATGCAGACATCACAGAGCAGTTTTCTGAGAATGCTTCTGTCTAGATTTTATAGGAAGATATTCCCGTTTCCAACGAAATCTTCACAGCTATCCAAATATCCACTTGCAGATTCTACAAAAAGAGTGTACCAAAACTGCTCTGTCAAAAGGAAGGTTCTTCTCTGTTAGGTGAGTGCATACGTCATAAAGGAGTTTCTGAGAATGTTTCTGTTAGTGGTTATGGGAAGATATTTGCTTTTTCACTGTAGGCCTCAGAGCGCTCCAAATATCCACTTGCACATACTACAAAAAGAGTGCCTCAAAGCTGCTCTCTGAAACGGAATGTTCAACTCTATGAGTTGAATGCAAACATCGCAAAGACGTTTCTGAGAATGCTTCTGTCTAGATTTGATATGACGATATTCCCGTTTCCAACGAAATCTTCAAATCTATCCAAATGTCCACTTGCAGATTTAACAAAACGTGTTTTTCAGAACTGCTCTATCAAAAGAAAGATCCACCTCTGTTAGCTGAGTTCACACATCACAAACAAGTTTATGAGAATGCTTCTGTCTACTTTTTATTTGAAGATATTTCCTTTCTCACCATAGACCTGAAAGCTGTCCTAATGTTCACTTCCAGATACTACAGAAAGAGTGTTTCAAAACTGCTGTACGAAAGGGAATGTTCAACTCTGTGACTTGAATGCACACATCACAAGGAAGTTTCTCAGGATGCTGCTGTCTACTTTTTATACGTAATCCCGTTTCCAACGAAATCCTCCAAGCTATCCAAATATCCACTTGCAGATTCCACAGAAAGACTGTTTCAAAACTGCTATGTCAATAGAAAAGTTCAACTCTGTTGGCTGTGTGCATATATCCCAAAGAAAATTCTGAGATTGCTTCTGTCTAGTTTTTATGGGAAGATATTTCCCTTTTCACCGTAGGCGTCAAGGCGCTCCAAATGTCCACTTCCAGATACTACAAAAAGAGTGTTTCAAACCTACTCTGTGAAAGGGAATATTCAACTCGTGTGACTAGAATGCACGTATCACAAAGAAGTTTCTGAGAATGCTTCTGTCGAGATTTTATATGAAGATATTCCCGTTTCCAACGAAATCCTGAAATCTATCCAAATATCCCCTCGCAGATTCTACAAAAAGAGTGTTTCAAAACTGCTCTGTAAAAAGAAAGGTTCAACTCTGTTATTGAGTACACACATCACAAACAAGTTTCACACAATGCTTCTTTCTAGCTTGTAGGGGAAGATATTCCCTTTATCACCATGGGCCTCAAACCGTCCGAAACGTCCACTTCCATATACTACAAAAAGAGCGTTTCAAACCTGCTCTATGAAAGGCAATGTTCAACTCTGTGACTTGAATGCAGACATCACACAGCAGTTTCTGAGAATGCTTCTGTCTAGATTTTATAGGAAGATATTCCCGTTTCCAACGAAATCTTCACAGCTATCCAAATATCCACTTGCAGATTCTACAAAAAGAGTGTATCAAAACTGCTCTGTCAAAAGGAAGGTTCTTCTCTGTTAGGTGAGTGCATACGTTTAAAGGTGTTTCTGAGAATGTTTCTGTCTAGTGGTTATGGGAAGATATTTGCTTTTTCACCGTAGGCCTCAGAGCGCTCCAAATATCCACTTGCACATACTACAAAAAGAGTGCTTCAAAGCTGGTCTCTGAAACGGAATGTTCAACTCTATGAGTTGAATGCAAACATCACAAAGACGTTTTCTGAGAATGCTTCTGTCTAGATTTGATATGAAGATATTCCCGTTTCCAAGGGAAATCTTCAAATCTATCCAAATGTCCACTTGCAGATTCAACAAAAAGTGTTTTTCAGAACTGCTCTATCAAAAGAAAGATCCACTTCTGTTAGCTGAGTTCACACATCACAAACAAGTTTATGAGAATGCTTCTGTCTAGTTTTTATTTGAAGATATTTCCTTTCTCACCATAGACCTGAAAGCTGTCCTAGTGTTCACTTCCAGATACTACAGAAAGAGTGTTTCAAAACTGATGTACGAAAGGGAATGTTCAACTCTGTGACTTGAATGCACACATCACAAAGTAGTTTCTGAGGATGCTGCTGTCTACTTATTATACGTAATCCCGTTTCCAACGAAATCCTCCAAGCTATCCAAATATCCACTTGCAGATTCCACAGAAAGACTCTTTCAAAACTGTTCTGTCAATAGAAAGGTTCAACTCTGTTAGCTGCGTGCATATATCCCAAAGAAGATTCTGAGATTGCTTCTGTCTAGTTTTTATGGGAAGATATTTCCCTTTTCACCGTAGGCGTCAAGGCGCTCCAAATGTCCACTTCCAGATACTACAAAAAGAGTGTTTCAAACCTACTCTGTGAAAGGGAATATTCAACTCTGTGACTAGAATGCACATATCACAAAGAAGTTTCTGAGAATGCATCTGTCGAGATTTTATATGAAGATATTCCCGTTTCCAACGAAATGCTGAAATCTATCCAAATATCCGCTCGCAGATTCTACAAAAAGAGTGTTTCAAAACTGCTCTGTAAAAAGAAAGGTTCAACTCTGTTAGTTGAGTACACACATCACAAACAAGTTTCACAGAATGCTCTTTCTAGCTTGTAGGGGAAGATATTCCCTTTATCACCATGGGCCTCCAACCGTCCGAAACATCCACTTACATATACTACAAAAAGAGCGTTTCAAACCTGCTCTATGAAAGGCAATGTTCAACTCTGTGACTTGAATGCAGACATCACAGAGCAGTTTCTGAGAATGCTTTCTGTCTAGATTTTATAGGAAGATATTCCCGTTTCCAACGAAATCTTCACAGCTATCCAAATATCCACTTGCAGATTCTACAAAAAGAGTGTATCAAAAGTGCTCTGTCAAAAGGAAGGTTCTTCTCTGTTAGGTGAGTGCATACGTCATAAAGGAGTTTCTGAGAATGTTTCTGTCTAGTGGTTATGGGAAGATACTTGCTTTTTCACCGTAGGCCTCAGAGCGCTCCAAATATCCCCTTGCACATACTACAAAAAGAGTGCTTCAAAGCTGCTCTCTGAAACGGAATGTTCAACTCTATGAGTTGAATGCAAACATCACAAAGACGTTTCTGGGAATGCTTCTGTCTAGATTTGATATGAAGATATTCCCGTTTCCAACGAAATCTTCAAATCTATCCAAATGTCCACTTGCAGATTCAACAAAAGTGTTTTTCAGAACTGCTCTATCAAAAGAAAGATCCACCTCTGTTAGCTGAGTTCACACATCACAAACAAGTTTATGAGAATGCTTCTGTCTAGTTTTTATTTGAAGATATTTCCTTTCTCACCATAGACCTGAAAGCTGTCCTAATGTTCACTTCCAGTTACTACAGAAAGAGTGTTTCAAAACTGCTGTACGAAAGGGAATGTTCAACTCTGTGACTTGAATGCACACATCACAAAGAAGCTTCTGAGGATGCTGCTGTCTACTTTTTATACGTAATCCCGTTTCCAACGAAATCCTCCAAGCTATCCAAATATCCACTTGCAGATTCCACAGAAAGACTGTTTCAAAACTGCTCTGTCAATAGAAAGGTTCAACTCTGTTAGCTGGGTGCATATATCCCAAAGAAGATTCTGAGATTACTTCTGTCTACGTTTTTATGAGAAGATATTTCCCTTTTCACCGTAGGCGTCAAGGCGCTCCAAATGTCCACTTCCAGATACTACAAAAAGAGTGTTTCAAACCTACTCTGTGAAAGGGAATATTGAACTCTGTGACTTGAATGCACATATCAAAAAGAAGCTTCTGAGAATGCTTCTGTCGAGATTTTATATGAAGATATTCCCGTTTCCAATGAAATCCTGAAATCTATCCAAATATCCCCTCGCAGATTCTACAAAAAGAGTGTTTCAAAACTGCTCTGTAAAAAGAAAGGTTCAACTCTGTTAGTTGAGTACACACATCACAAACAAGTTTCACAGAATGCTATCTTTCTAGCTTGTAGGGGAAGATATTCCCTTTATCACCATGGGCCTCAAACAGTCTGAAACGTCCACTTCCATATACTACAAAAAGAGCATTTCAAACCTGCTCTATGAAAGGCAATGTTCAACTCTGTGACTTGAATGCAGACATCACAGAGCAGTTTCTGAGAATGCTTCTGTCTAGGTATTATAGGAGGATATTCCCGTTTCCAACGAAATCTTCACAGCTATCCAAATATCCACTTGCAGATTCTACAAAAAGAGTGTATCAAAACTGCTCTGTCAAAAGGAAGGTTCTTCTCTGTTAGGTGAGTGCATACGTCATAAAGGAGTTTCTGAGAATGTTTCTGTCTAGTGGTTATGGGAAGATATTTGCTTTTTCACCGTAGGCCTCAGAGCGCTCCAAATATCCACTTGCACATACTACAAAAAGAGTGCTTCAAACCTGCTCTCTGAAAGGGAATGTTCAACTCTATGAGTTGAATGCAAACATGACAAAGACGTTTCTGAGAATGCTTCTGTCTAGATTTGATATGAAGATATTCCCGTTTCCAACGAAATCTTCAAATCTATCCAAATGTCCACTTGCAGATTCAACAAAAAATGTTTTTCAGAACTGCTCTATCAAAAGAAAGATCCACCTCTGTTAGCTGAGTTCACACATCACAAACAAGTTAATGAGAATGCTTTCTGTCTAGTTTTTATTTGAAGATATTTCCTTTCTCACCATAGACCTGAAGCTGTCCTAATGTTCACTTCCAGATACTACAGAAAGAGTGTTTCAAAACTGCTGTACGAAAGGGAATGTTCAACTCTGTGACTTGAATGCACACATCACAAAGAAGTTTCTGAGGATGCTGCTGTCTACTTTTGATACGTAATCCCGTTTCCAACGAAATCCTCCAAGCTACCAAATATCCACTTGCAGATTCCACAGAAAGACTGTTTCAAAACTGCTCTGTCAATAGAAAGGTTCAACTCTGTTAGCTGCGTGCATATATCCCAAAGAAGATTCTGAGATTGCTTCTGTCTAGTTTTTATGGGAAGATATTTCCCTTTTCACCGTAGGCGTCAAGGCGCTCCAAATGTCCACTTCCAGATACTACAAAAAGAGTGTTTCAAACCTACTCTGTGAAAGGGAATATTCAACCCTGTGACTTGAAGGCAGATATCACAAAGAAGTTTCTGAGAATGCTTCTGTCGAGATTTTATATGAAGATATTCCCGTTTCCAACGAAATCCTGTAATCTATCCAAATATCCCCTCGCAGATTCTACAAAAAGAGTGTTTCAAAACTGCTCTGTAAAAAGAAAGGTTCAACTCTGTTAGTTGAGTACACACCTCACAAACAAGTTTCACAGAATGCTTCTTTCTAGCTTGTAGGGGAAGATATTCCCTTTATCACCATGGGCCTCAAACCGTCCGAAACGTCCACTTCCATATACTACAAAAAGAGCATTTCAAACCTGCTCTAGGAAAGGCAATGTTCAACTCTGTGACTTGAATGCAGACATCGCAGAGCAGTTTCTGAGAATGCTTCTGTCTAGATTTTATAGGAAGATATTCCCGTTTCCAACGAAATCTTCACAGGTATCAAAATATCCACTTGCAGATTCTACAAAAAGAGTGTATCAAAACTGCTCTGTCAAAAGGAAGGTTCTTCTCTGTTAGGTGAGTGCATACGTCATAAAGGAGTTTCTGAGAATGTTTCTGTCTAGTGGTTATGGGAAGATATTTGCTTTTTCACCGTAGGCCTCAGAGCGCTCCAAATATCCGCTTGCACATACTACAAAAAGAGTGCTTCAAAGCTGCTCTCTGAAACGGAATGTTCAACTCTATGAGTTGAATGCAAACATGACAAAGACGTTTCTGAGAATGCTTCTGTCTAGATTTGATATGAAGATATTCCCGTTTCCAAGGAAATCTTCAAATCTATCCAAATGTCCACTTGCAGATTCTACAAAAATTGTTTTTCAGAACTGCTCTATCAAAAGAAAAATCCACGTGTGTTAGCTGAGTTCACACATCACAAACAAGTTTATGAGAATGCTTCTGTCTAGTTTTTATTTGAAGATATTTCCTTTCTCACCATAGACCTGAAAGCTGTCCTAATGTTCACTTCCAGTTACTACAGAAAGAGTATTTCAAAACTGCTGTACGAAAGGGAATGTTCAACTCTGTGACTTGAATGCACACATCACAAAGAAGTTTGCTGAGGATGCTGCTGTCTACTTTTTATACGTAATCCCGTTTCCAAAGAAATCCTCCAAGCTATCCAAATATCCACTTGCAGATTCCACAGAAAGACTGTTTCAAAACGGGTCTGTCAATAGAAAGGTTCAACTCTGTTAGCTGCGTACATATATCCCAAAGAAGATTCTGAGATTGCTTCTGTCTACTTTTTATGAGAAGATATTTCCCTGTTCACCGTAGGCGTCAAGGCGCTCCAAATGTTCACTTCCAGATACTACAAAAAGAGTGTTTCAAACCTACTCTGTAAAAGGGAATATTCAACTCTGTGACTTGAATGCACATATCACAAAGAAGTTTCTGAGAATGCTTCTGTCGAGATTTTATATGAAGATATTCCCGTTTCCAACGAAATCCTGAAATCTATCCAAATATCCCCTCGCAGATTGTACAAAAAGAGTGTTTCAAAACTGCTCTGTAAAAAGAAAGGTTCAACTCTGTTAGTTGAGTACACACATCACAAACAAGTTTCACAGAATGCTTCTTTCTAGCTTGTAGGGGAAGATATTCCCTTTATCACCAAGGGCCTCAAACCGTCCGAAACGTCCACTTCCATATACTACAAAAACAGCATTTCAAACCTGCTCTAGGAAAGGCAATGTTCAACTCTGTGACTTGAATGCAGACATCACAGAGCAGTTTCTGAGAATGCTTCTGTCTAGATTTTATAGGAAGATATTCCTCGTTTCCAACGAAATCTTCACAGCTATCCAAATATCCACTTGCAGATTCTACAAAAAGAGTGTATCAAAACTGCTCTGTGAAAAGGAAGGTTCTTCTCTGTTAGGTGAGTGCATACGTCATAAAGGAGTTTCTGAGAATGTTTCTGTCTAGTGGTTATGGGAAGATATTTGCTTTTTCACCTTAGGCCTCAGAGAGCTCCAAATATCCACTTGCACATACTACAAAAAGAGTGCTTCAAAGCTGCTCTCTGAAAGGGAATGTTCAACTCTGTGAGTTGAATGCAAACATCACAAAGACGTTTCTGACAATGCTTTCTGTCTAGATTTGATATGAAGATATTCCCGTTTCCAACGAAATCTTCAAATCTATCCAAATGTCCATTTGCAGATTCAACAAAAAGAGTTTTTCAAAACTGTTATATCAAAAGAAAGATCCACATCTGTTAGCTGAGTTCACACATCACAAACAAGTTTAAGAGAATGCTTCTGTCTAGTTTTTATTTGAAGATATTTCCTTTCTCACCATAGACCTGAAAGCTGTCCTAATGTTCACTTCCAGATACTACAGAAAGAGTGTTTCAAAACTGCTGTATGAAAGGGAATGTTCAACTCTGTGACTTGAATGCAGACATCACAGAGCAGTTTCTGAGAATGCTGCTGTCTACTTTTTATACGTAATCCCGTTTCCAACGAAATCCTCCAAGCTATCCAAATATCCACTTGCAGATTCCACAGAAAGACTGTTTCAAAACTGCTCTGTCAATAGAAAGGTTCAACTCTGTTAGCTGCGTACATATATCCCAAAGAAGATTCTGAGATTGCTTCTGTCTACTTTTTATGAGAAGATATTTCCCTTTTCACCGTAGGCGTCAAGGCGCTCTAAATGTCCACTTCCAGATACTAGAAAAAGAGTGTTTCAAACCTACTCTGTGAAAGGGAATATTCAACTCTGTGACTTGAATGCACATATCACAAAGAAGCTTCTGAGAATGCTTCTGTCGAGATTTTATATGAAGATATTCCGGTTTCCAACAAAATCCTGAAATCTATCCAAATATCCCCTCGCAGATTCTACAAAAAGAGTGTTTCAAAACTGCTCTGTAAAAAGAAAGGTTCAACTCTGTTAGTTGAGTACACACATCACAAACAAGTTTCACAGAATGCTTCTTTCTAGCTTGTAGGGGAAGATATTCCCTTTATCACCATGGGCCTCCAACCGTCCGAAACATCCACTTCCATATACTACAAAAAAGCGTTTCAAACCTGCTCTATGAAAGGCAATGTTCAACTCTGTGACTTGAATGCAGACATCACAGAGCAGTTTCTGAGAATGCTTCTGTCTAGATTTTATAGGAAGATATTCCCGATTCCAACGAAATCTTCACAGCTATCCAAATATCCACTTGCAGATTCTACAAAAAGAGTGTATCAAAACTGCTCTGTCAAAAGGAAGGTTCTTCTCTGTTAGTTGAGTACAAACGTCATAAAGGAGTTTCTGAGAATGTTTCTGTCTAGTGGTTATGGGAAGATATTTGCTTTTTCCCCGTAGGCCTCAGGGCGCTCCAAATGTCCACTTGCACATGCTACAAAAAGAGTGCTTCAAAGCTGCCTCTCTGAAAGGGAATGTTCAACTCTATGAGTTGAATGCAAACATCACAAAGACGTTTCTGAGAATGCTTCTGTCTAGATTTGATATGAAGATATTCCCGTTTCCAACGAAATCTTCAAATCTATCCAAATGTCCACTTGCAGATTCAACAAAAAGTGTTTTTCAGAACTGCTCTATCAAAAGAAAGATCCACCTCTGTTAGCTGAGTTCACACAACACAAACAAGTTTATGAGAATGCTTCTGTCTAGTTTTTATTTGAAGATATTTCCTTTCTCACCATAGACCTGAAAGCTGTCCTAATGTTCACTTCCAGATACTACAGAAAGAGTGTTTCAAAACTGCTGTACGAAAGGGAATGTTCAACTCTTTGACTTGAATGCACACATCACAAAGAAGTTTCTGAGGATGCTGCTGTCTACTTTTTATACGTAATCCCGTTTCCAACGAAATCCTCCAAGCTATCCAAATATCCACTTGCAGATTCCACAGAAAGACTGTTTCAAATCTGCTCTGTCAATAGAAAGGTTCAACTCTGTTAGCTGCGTGCATATATCCCAAAGATGATTCTGAGATTTCTTCTGTCTAGTTTTGATGGGAAGATATTTCCCTTTTCACCGTAGGCGTCAAGGCGCTCCAAATGTCCACTTCCAGATACTACAAAAAGAGTGTTTCAAACCTACTCTGTGAAAGGGAATATTCAACTCTGTGACTTGAATGCACATATCACAAGGAAGTTTCTGAGAATGCTTCTGTCGCGATTTTATATGAAGATATTCCCCTTTCCAACGAAATCCTGAAATCTATCCAAATATCCCCTCGCAGATTCTACAAAAAGAGTGTTTCAAAACTGCTCTGTAAAAAGAAAGGTTCAACTCTGTTAGTTGAGTACACACATCACAAACAAGTTTCACAGAATGCTTCTTTCTAGCTTGTAGGGGAAGATATTCCCTTTATCACCATGGGCCTCAAACCGTCCGAAAAGTCCACTTCCATATACTACAAAAAGAGCATTTCAAACCTGCTCTATGAAAGGCAATGTTCAACTCTGTGACTTGAATGCAGACATCACAGAGCAGTTTCTGAGAATGCTTCTGTCCAGACTTTATAGGAAGATATTCCCGTTTCCAACGAAATCTTCACAGCTATCCAAATATCCACTTGCAGATAGTACAAAAAGAGTGTATCAAAAATGCTCTATCAAAAGGAAAGTTCTTCTCTGCTAGTTGAGTACATACGTCATAAAGAAGTTTCTGAGAATGTTTCTGTCTAGTGGTTATGGGAAGATATTTGCTTTTTCACCGTAGGCCTCAGAGCGCTCCAAATATCCCCTTGCACATACTACAAAAAGAGTGCTTCAAAGCTGCTCTCTGAAAGGGAATGTTCAACTCTAAGAGTTGAATGCAAACATCACAAAGACGTTTCTGAGAATGCTTCTGTCTAGATTTGATATGAAGATATTCCCGTTTCCAAAGAAATCTTCAAATCTATCCAAATGTCCACTTGCAGATTCAACAAAAAGTGTTTTTCAGAACTGCTCTATCAAAAGAAAGATCCACGTGTGTTAGCTGAGTTCACACATCACAAACAAGTTTATGAGAATGCTTCTGTCTAGATTTGATATGAAGATATTCCCGTTTCCAACGAAATCTTCAAATCTATCCAAATGTCCACTTGCAGATTCAACAAAAAGTGTTTTTCAGAACTGCTCTATCAAAAGAAAGATCCACGTGTGTTAGTTGAGTTCACACATCACAAACAAGTTTATGAGAATGCTTGCTGTCTACTTTTATACCTAATCCCGTTTCCAACGAAATCCTCCAAGCTATCCAAATATCCACTTGCAGATTCCACAGAAAGACTGTTTCAAAACTGCTCTGTCAATAGAAAGGTTCAACTCTGTTAGCTGCGTGCATATATCCCAAAGAAGATTCTGAGATTGCTTCTGTCTAGTTTTTATGGGAAGATATTTCCCTTTTCACCGTAGGTGTCAAGGCGCTCCAAATGTCCACTTCCAGATACTACAAAAAGAGTGTTTCAAACCTACTCTGTGAAAGGGAACATTCAACTCTGTGACTTGAATGCACATATCACAAAGAAGTTTCTGAGAATGCTTCTGTCGAGATTTTATATGAAGATATTCCCCTTTCCAACGAAATCCTGAAATCTATCCAAATATCCCCTCGCAGATTCTACAAAAAGCGTGTTTCAAAACTGCTCTGTAAAAAGAAAGGTTCAACTCTGTTAGTTGAGTACACACATCACAAACAAGTTTCACAGAATGCTTCTTTCTAGCTTGTAGGGGAAGATATACCCTTTATCACCATGGGCCTCAAACCGTCCGAAAAGTCCACTTCCATATACTACAAAAAGAGCGTTTCAAACCTGCTCTATGAAAGGCAATGTTCAACTCTGTGACTTGAATGCAGACATCACAGAGCAGTTTCTGAGAATGCTTCTGTCTAGATTTTATAGGAAGATATTCCCGTTTCCAACGAAATCTTCACAGCTATCCAAATATCCACTTGCAGATTCTACAAAAAGAGTGTATCAAAACTGCTCTGTCAAAAGGAAGGTTCCTTTCTGTTAGGTGAGTGCATACGTCATAAAGGAGTTTCTGAGAATGTTTCTGTCTAGTGGTTATGGGAAGATATTTGCTTTTTCACCGTAGGCCTCAGAGCGCTCCAAATATCCACTTGCACATACTACAAAAAGAGTGCCTCAAAGCTGCTCTCTGAAACGGAATGTTCAACTCTATGAGTTGAATGCAAACATCACAAAGACGTTTCTGAGAATGCCTCTGTCTAGATTTGATATGAAGATATTCCCGTTTCCAACGAAATCTTCAAATCTATCCAAATGTCCACTTGCAGATTCAACAAAAAGAGTTTTTCAGAACTGCTCTATCAAAAGAAAGATCCACCTCTGTTAGCTGAGTTCACACATCACAAACAAGTTTATGAGAATGCTTCTGTCTAGTTTTTATTTGAAGATATTTCTTTTCTCACCATAGACCTGAAAGCTGTCGTAATGTTTACTTCCAGATACTACAGAAAGAGTGTTTCAAAACTAATGTACGAAACGGAATGTTCAACTCTGTGACTTGAATGCACACATCACAAAGAAGTTTCTGAGGATGCTGCTGTCTACTTTTTATACGTAATCCCGTTTCCAACGAAATCCTCCAAGCTATCCAAATATCCACTTGCAGATTCCACAGAAAGACTGTTTCAAAACTGCTCTGTCAATAGAAAGGTTCAACTCTGTTAGCTGCGTGCATATATCCCAAGAAGATTCTGAGATGGCTTCTGTCTAGTTTTTATGGGAAGATATTTCCTTTTTCACCGTAGGCGTCAAGGCGCTCCAAATGTCCACTTCCAGATACTACAAAAAGAGTGTTTCAAACCTACTCTGTGAAAGGGAATATTCAACTCTGTGACTTGAATGCACATATCACAAGGAAGTTTCTGAGAATGCTTCTGTCGAGAATTTATATGAAGATATTCCCGTTTCCAACGAAATCCTGAAATCTCTCCAAATATCCCCTCGCAGATTCTACAAAAAGAGTGTTTCAAAACTGCTCTGTAAAAAGAAAGGTTCAACTCTGTTAGTTGAGTACACACATCACAAACAAGTTTCACAGAATGCTTCTTTCTAGCTTGTAGGGGAAGATATTCCCTTTATCACAATGGGCCTCAAACCGTCCGATAAGTCCACTTCCATATACTACAAAAAGAGCGTTTCAAACCTGCTCTATGAAAGGCAATGTTCAACTCTGTGACTTGAATGCAGACATCACAGAGCAGTTTCTGAGAATGCTTCTGTCTAGATTTTATAGGAAGATATTCCCGTTTCCAACGAAATCTTCACAGCTATCCAAATATCCACTTGCAGATTCTACAAAAAGAGTGTATCAAAACTGCTCTGTCAAAAGGAAGGTTCTTCTCTGTTAGGTGAGTACATACCGTCATAAAGGAGTTTCTGAGAATGTTTCCATCTAGTGGTTATGGGAAGATATTTGCTTTTTCACCGAAGGCCTCAGAGCGCTCCAAATATCCACTTGCACATACTACAAAAAGAGTGCCTCAAAGCTGCTCTCTGAAACGGAATGTTCAACTCTATGAGTTGAATGCAAACATCGCAAAGACGTTTCTGAGAATGCTTCTGTCTAGATTTGATATGAAGATATTCCCGTTTCCAACGAAATCTTCAAATCTATCCAAATGTCCACTTGCAGATTCAACAAAAAGTGTTTTTCAGAACTGCTCTATCAAAAGAAAGATCCACCTCTGTTAGCTGAGTTCAGACATCGCAAACATGTTTATGAGAATGCTTCTGTCTAGTTTTTATTTGAAGATATTTCCTTTCTCACCATAGACCTGAAAGCTGTCCTAATGTTCACTTCCAGATACTACAGAAAGAGTGTTTAAAAACTGCTGTACGAAAGGGAATGTTCAACTCTGTGACTTGAATGCACACATCACAAAGAAGTTTCTGAGGATGCTGCTGTCTACTTTTTATACGTAATCCCGTTTCCAACGAAATCCTCCAAGCTATCCAAATATCCACTTCCAGATTCCACAGAAAGACTGTTTCAAAACTGCTCTGTCAATAGAAAGGTTCAACTCTGTTAGCTGCGTGCATATATCCCAAAGAAGATTCTGAGATTGCTTCTGTCTAGTTTTTATGGGAAGATATTTCCCTTTTCACCGTAGGCGTCAAGGCGCTCCAAATGTCCACTTCCAGATACTACAAAACGAGTGTTTCAAACCTACTCTGTGAAAGGGAATATTCAACTCTGTGACTTGAATGCACATATCAGAAGGAAGTTTCTGAGAATGCTTCCGTCGAGATTTTATATGAAGATATTCCCGTTTCCAACGAAATCCTGAAATCTATCCAAATATCCGCTCGCAGATTCTACAAAAAGAGTGTTTCAAAACTGCTCTGTGAAAAGAAAGGTTCAACTCTGTTAGTTGAGTACACACATCACAAACAAGTTTCACAGAATGCTTCTTTCTAGCTTGTAGGGGAAGATATTCCCTTTATCACCATGGGCCTCAAACCGTCCGATAAGTCCACTTCCATATACTACAAAAAGAGCGTTTCAAACCTGCTCTATGAAAGGCAATGTTCAACTCCGTGACTTGAATGCAGACATCACAGAGCAGTTTCTGAGAATGCTTCTGTCTAGATTTTATAGGAAGATATTCCCGTTTCCAACGAAATCTTCACAGCTATCCAAATATCCACTTGCAGATTCTACAAAAAGAGTGTATCAAAAATGCTCTGTCAAAAGGAAGGTTCTTCTCTGTTAGTTGAGTACATACGTCATAAAGGAGTTTCTGAGAATGTTTCTGTCTAGTGGTTATGGGAAGATATTTGCTTTTTCACCGTAGGCCTCAGAGCGCTCCAAATATCCACTTGCACATACTACAAAAAGAGTGCCTCAAAGCTGCTCTCTGAAACGGAATGTGCAACTCTATGAGTTGAATGCAAACATCGCAAAGACGTTTCTGAGAATGCTTCTGTCTAGATTTGATATGAAGATATTCCCGTTTCCAACGAAACCTTCAAATCTATCCAACTGTCCTCTTGCAGATTCAACAAAAAGTGTTTTTCAGAACTGCTCTATCAAAAGAAAGATCCACGTGTGTTAGCTGAGTTCACACATCACGAACAAGTTTATGAGAATGCTTCTGTCTAGTTTTTATTTGAAGATATTTCCTTTCTCACCATAGACCTGAAAGCTGTCCTAATGTTCACTTCCAGATACTACAGAAAGAGTGTTTCAAAACTGCTGTATGAAAGGGAATGTTCAACTCTGTGACTTGAATGCACACATCACAAATAAGTTTCTGAGGATGCTGCTGTCTACTTTTTATACATAATCCCGTTTCCAACGAAATCCTCCAATCTATCCAAATATCCACTTGCAGATTCCACAGAAAGACTGTTTCAAAACTGCTCTGTCAATAGAAAGGTTCAACTCTGTTAGCTGCGTGCATATATCCCAAAGAAGATTCTGAGATTGCTTCTGTCTAGTTTTTATGGGAAGATATTTCCCTTTTCACCGTAGGCGTCAAGGCGCTCCAAATGTCCACTTCCAGATACTACAAAAAGAGTGTTTCAAACCTACTCTGTGAAAGGGAATATTCAACTCTGTGACTTGAATGGAGATATCACAAAGAAGTTTCTGAGAATGCTTCTGTCGAGATTTTATATGAAGATAATCCCCTTTCCAACGAAATTCTGAAATCTATCCAAATATGCCCTCGCAGATTCTACAAAAAGAGTGTTTCAAAACTGCTCTGTAAAAAGAAAGGTTCAACTCTGTTAGTTGAGTACACACATCACAAACAAGTTTCACAGAATGCTTCTTTCTAGCTTGTAGGGGAAGATATTCCCTTTATCACCATGGGCCTCAAACCGTCCGAAACGTCCACTTCCATATACTACAAAAAGAGTGTTTCAAACCTGCTCTATGAACGGCAATGTTCAACTCTGTGACTTGAATGCAGACATCACAGAGCAGTTTCTGAGAATGCTTCTGTCCAGAGTTTATAGGAAGATATTCCCGTTTCCAACGAAATCTTCACAGCTATTCAAATATCCACTTGCAGATACTAAAAAAGTGTATCAAAAATGCTCTGTCAAAAGGAAAGCTCTTCTCTGCTAGTTGAGTACATTCGTCATAAAGAAATTTCTGAGAATGTTTCTGTCTAGTGGTTATGGGAAGATATTTGCTTTTTCCCCGTAGGCCTCAGGGCGCTCCAAATGTCCACTTGCACATGCTACAAAAAGAGTGCTTCAAAGCTGCTCTCTGAAAGGGAATGTTCAACCCTATGAGTTGAATGCAAACATCACAAAGACGTTTCTGAGAATGCTTCTGTCTAGATTTGATATGAAGATATTCCCGTTTCCAACGAAATCTTCAAATCTATCCAAATGTCCACTTGCAGATTCAACAAAGTGTTTTTCAAAACTGCTGTATCAAAAGAAACATCCACCTCTGTTAGCTGAGTTCACACTTCACAAACAAGTTTATCAGAATGCTTCTGTCTAGTTTTTATTTGAAGATATTTCCTTTCTCACCATAGACCTGAAAGCTGTCCTAATGTTCAATTCCAGATACTACAGAAAGAGTGTTTCAAAACTGCTGTACGAAAGGGAATGTTCAACTCTGTGACTTGAATGCACACATCACAAAGAAGTTTCTGAGGATGCTGCTGTCTACTTTTTATACGTAATCCCGTTTCCAACGAAATCCTCCAAGCTATCCAAATATCCACTTGCAGATTCCACAGAAAGACTGTTTCAAACCTGCTCTGTCAATAGAAAGGTTCAACTCTGTTAGCTGCGTGCATATATCCCAAAGAAGATTCTGAGATTGCTTTCTGTCTAGTTTTTATGGGAAGATATTTCCCTTTTCACCGTAGGTGTCAAGGCGCTCCAAATATCCACTTCCAGATACTACAAAAAGAGTGTTTCAAACCTACTCTGTGAAAGGGAATATTCAACTCTGTGACTTGAATGCACATATCACAAAGAAGTTTCTGAGAATGCTTCTGTCGAGATTTTATATGAAGATATTCCCGTTTCCAACGAAATTCTGAAATGTATCCAAATATCCCCTCGCAGATTCTACAAAAAGAGTGTTTCAAAACTGCTCTGTAAAAAGAAAGGTTCAGCTCTGTTAATTGAGTACACACATCACAAACAAGTTTCACACAATGCTTCTTTCTAGCTTGTAGGGGAAGATATTCCGTTTATCACCATGGGCCTCAAACCGTCCGAAACGTCTACTTCCATATACTACAAAAAGAGCGTTTCAAACCTGCTCTATGAAAAGCAATGTTCAACTCTGTGACTTGAATGCAGACATCACAGAGCAGTTTGCTGAGAATGCTTCTGTATAGATTTTATAGGAAGATATTCCCGTTTCCAACGAAATCTTCACAGCTATCCAAATATCCACTTGCAGATTCTACAAAAAGAGTGTATTCAAACTGCTCTGTCAAAAGGAAGGTTCTTCTCTGTTAGTTGAGTACATACGTCATAAAGGAGTTTCTGAGAATGTTTCTGTCTAGTGGTTATGGGAAGATATTTGCTTTTTCACCTTAGGCCTCAGAGCACTCCAAATATCCCCTTGCAGATACTATAAAAAGAGTGCTTCAAAGCTGCTCTCTGAAACGGAATGTTCAACTCTATGAGTTGAATGCAAACATGACAAAGACGTTTCCGAGAATGCTTCTGTCTAGATTTGATATGACGATATTCCAGTTTCCAACGAAATCTTCAAATCTATCCAAATGTCCACTTGCAGATTCAACAAAAAGTGTTTTTCAGAACTGCTCTATCAAAAGAAAGATCCACCTGTGTTAGCTGAGTTCACACATCACAAACAAGTTTATGAGAATGTTTCTGTCTGGTTTTTATTTGAAGATATTTCTTTTCTCACCATAGACCTGAAAGCTGTCCTAATGTTCACTTCCAGATACTACAGAAAGAGTGTTTCAAAACTGCTGTACGAAAGGGAATGTTCAACTCTGTGACTTGAATGCACACATCACAAAGAAGTTTCTGAGGATGCTGCTGTTCTACTTTTTATACGTAATCCCGTTTCCAACGAAATCCTCCAAGCTATCCAATATCCACTTGCAGATTCCACAGAAAGACTGTTTCAAAACTGCTCTGTCAATAGAAAGGTTCAACTCTGTTAGCTGCGTGCATATATCCCAAAGAAGATTCTGAGATTGCTTCTGTCTAGTTTTTATGGGAAGATATTTCCCTTTTCACCGTAGGCGTCAAAGCGCTCCAAATGTCCACTTCCAGATACTACAAAAAGAGTGTTTCAAACCTACTCTGTGAAAGGGAATATTCAACTCTGTGATTTGAATGCAGATATCACAAAGAAGTTTCTGAGAATGCTTCTATCGAGATTTTCTATGAAGATATTCCCGTTTCCAACGAAATCCTGAAATCTATCCAAATATCCCCTCGCAGATTCTACAAAAAGAGTGTTTCAAAACTGCTCTGTAAAAAGAAAGGTTCAACTCTATTAGTTGAGTACACACATCACAAACAAGTTTCACAGAATGCTTCTTTCTAGCTTGTAGGGGAGATATTCCCTTTAACACCATGGGCCTCAAACCGTCCGAAACGTCCACTTCCATATACTACAAAAAGAGCGTTTCAAACCTGCTCTATGAAAGGCAATGTTCAACTCTGTGACTTGAATGCAGACATCACAGAGCAGTTTCTGAGAATGCTTCTGTCTAGATTTTATAGGAAGATATTCCCGTTTGCAACGAAATCTTCACAGCTATCCAAATATCCACTTGCAGATTCTACAAAAAGAGTGTATCAAAACTGCTCTGTCAAAAGGAAGGTTCTTCTCTGTTAGGTGAGTGCATACGTCATAAAGGAGTTTCTGAGAATGTTTCTGTCTAGTGGTTATGGGAAGATATTTGCTTTTTCACCGTAGGCCTCAGAGCGCTCCAAATATCCACTTGCACATACTACAAAAAGAGTGTTTCAAAGCTGCTCTCTGAAACGGAATGTTCAACTCTATGAGTTGAATGCAAACATGACAAAGACGTTTCTGAGAATGCTTCTGTCTAGATTTGTTATGAAGATATACCCGTTTCCAACGAAATCTTCAAATCTATCCAAATGTCCACTTGCAGATTCAACAAAGTGTTTTTCAAAACTGCTGTATCAAAAGAAAGATCCACTTGTGTTATCTGAGTTCACACTTCACAAACAAGTTTATCAGAATTCTTCTGTCTAGTTTTTATTTGAAGATATTTCCTTTCTCACCATAGACCTGAAAGCTGTCCTAATGTTCACTTCCAGATACTACAGAAAGAGTGTTTCGAAACTGCTGTACGAAAGGGAATGTTCAACTCTGTGACTTGAATGCACACATCACAAAGAAGTTTCTGAGGATGCTGCTGTCTACTTTTTATACGTAATCCCGTTTCCAACGTAATCCTCCAGGCTATCCAAATATCCACTTGCAGATTCCACAGAAAGACTGTTTCAAATCTGCTCTGTCAATAGAAAAGTTCAACTCTATTAGCTGCGTGCATATATCCCAAAGAAGATTCTGAGATTGCTTCTGTCTAGTTTTTATGGGAAGATATTTCCCTTTTCACCGTAGGTGTCAAGGCGCTCCAAATGTCAACTTCCAGATACTACAAAAAGAGTGTTTCAAACCTACTCTGTGAAAGGGAATATTCAACTCTGTGACTTGAATGCACATATCACAAAGAAGTTTCTGAGAATGCTTCTGTCGAGATTTTATATGAAGATATTCCCGTTTCCAACGAAATCCTGAAATCTATCCAATTATCCCCTCGCAGATTCTACAAAAAGAGTGTTTCAAAACTGCTCTGTAAAAAGAAAGGTTCAACTCTGTTAGTTGAGTACACACATCACAAACAAGTTTCACAGAATGCTTCTTTTTAGCTTGTAGGGGAAGATATTCCCTTTATCACCATGGGCCTCCAACCTTCCGAAACATCCAGTTCCATATACTACAAAAAGAGCATTTCAAACCTGCTCTATGAAAGGCAATGTTCAACTCTGTGACTTGAATGCAGACATCACAGAGCAGTTTCTGAGAATGCTTCTGTCTAGAATTTATAAGAAGATATTCCCGTTTCCAACGAAATCTTCACAGCTATCCAAATATCCACTTGCAGATTCTACAAAAAGAGTGTATCAAAAGTGCTCTGTCAAAAGGAAGGTTCTTCTCCGTTAGGTGAGTGCATACGTCATAAAGGAGTTTCTGAGAATGTTTCTGTCTAGTGGTTATGGGAAGATATTTGCTTTTTCACCGTAGGCCTCAGAGCGCTCCAAATATCCACTTGCACATACTACAAAAAGAGTGCTTCAAAGCTGCTCTCTGAAACGTAATGTTCAACTCTATGAGTTGAATGCAAACATCACAAAGACGTTTCCGAGAATGCTTCTGTCTAGATTTGATATGAAGATATTCCCGTTTCCAACGAAATCTTCAAATCTATCCAAATGTCCACTTGCAGATTCAACAAAAAGTGTTTTTCAGAACTGCTCTATCAAAAGAAAGATCCACCTCTGTTAGATGAGTTCACACATCACAAACAAGTTTATGAGAATGCTTCTGTCTAGTTTTTATTTGAAGATATTTCCTTTCTCACCATAGACCTGAAAGCTGTCCTAATGTTCACTTCCAGATACTACAGAAAGAGTGTTTCAAAACTGCTGTACGGAAGGGAATGTTCAACTCTGTGACTTGAATGCACACATCACAAAGAAGTTCCTGAGGACGCTGCTGTCTACTTTTTATGCGTAATCCCGTTTCCAACGAAATCCTCCAAGCTATCCAAATATCCACTTGCAGATTCCACAGAAAGACTGTTTCAAAACTGCTCTGTCAATAGAAAGGTTCAACTCTGTTAGCTGCGTGCATATATCCCAAAGAAGATTCTGAGATTGCTTCTGTCTAGTTTTGATGGGAAGATATTTCCCTTTTCACCGTGGGCGTCAAGGCGCTCCAAATGTCCACTTCCAGATACTACAAAAAGAGTGTTTCAAACCTACTCTGTGAAAGGGAATATTCAACTCTGTGACTTGAATGCACATATCACAAGGAAGTTTCTGAGAATGCTTCTGTCGAGATTTTATATGAAGATATTCCCGTTTCCAACGAAATCCTGAAATCTATCCAAATATCCCCTCGCAGATTCTACAAAAAGAGTGTTTCAAAACTGCTCTCTAAAAAGGAAGGTTCAACTCTGTTAGTTGAGTACACACATCACAAACAAGTTTCACAGAATGCTTCTTTCTAGCTTGTAGGGGAAGATATTCCCTTTATCACCATGGGCCTCAAAGCGTCCGAAACGTCCACTTCCATATACTACAAAAAGAGCGTTTCAAACCTGCTCTAGGAAAGGCAATGTTCAACTCTGTGACTTGAATGCAGACATCACAGAGTAGTTTCTGAGAATGCTTCTGTCTAGATTTTATAGGAAGATATTCCCGTTTCCTACGAAATCTTCACAGCTATCCAAATATCCACTTGCAGATTCTACAAAAAGAGTGTATCAAAACTGCTCTGTCAAAAGGAAGGTTCTTCTCTGTTAGGTGAGTGCATACGTCATAAAGGAGTTTCTGAGAATGTTTCTGTCTAGTGGTTATGGGAAGATATTTGCTTTTTCACCGTAGGCCTCACAGCGCACCAAATATCCACTTGCACATACTACAAAAAGAGTGCCTCAAAGCTGCTCTCTGAAACGGAATGTTCAACTCTATGGGTTGAATGCAAACATCACAAAGACGTTTCTGAGAATGCTTCTGTCTAGATTTGATATGAAGATATTCCCGTTTCCAACGAAATCTTCAAATCTATCCAAATGTCCACTTGCAGATTCAACAAAAAGTGTTTTTCAAAACTGCTGTATCAAAAGAAAGATCCACCTCTGTTAGCTGAGTTCACACATCACAAACAAGTTTATGAGAAAGCTTCTGTCTAGTTTTTATTTGAAGATCTTTCCTTTCTCACCATAGACCTGAAAGCTGTCCTAATGTTCACTTCCAGATACTACAGAAAGAGTGTTTCAAAACTGCTGTACGAAAGGGAATGTTCAACTCTGTGACTTGAATGCACACATCACAAAGAAGTTTCTGAGGATGCTGCTGTCTACTTTTTATACGTAATCCCGTTTCCAAAGAAATCCTCCAAGCTATCCAAATATCCACTTGCAGATTCCACAGAAAGACTGTTTCAAAACGGGTCTGTCAATAGAAAGGTTCAACTACTGTTAGCTGCGTACATATATCCCAAAGAAGATTCTGAGATTGCTTCTGTCTAGTTTTTATGGGAAGATATTTCCCTTTTCACCGTAGGCGTCAAGGCGCTCCAAATGTCCAATTCCAGATACTATAAAAAGAGTGTTTCAAAACTACTCTGTGAAAGAGAATATTCAACTCTGTGACTGGAATGCAGATATCACAAAGAAGTTTCTGAGAATGCTTCTGTCGAGATTTTATATGAAGATATTCCCGTTTCCAACGAAATCCTGAAATCTATCCAAATATCCCCTCGCAGATTCTACAAAAAGAGTGTTTCAAAACTGCTCTGTAAAAAGAAAGGTTCAACTCTGTTAGTTGAGTACACACATCACAAACAAGTTTCAGAGAATGCTTCTTTCTAGCTTGTAGGGGAAGATATTCCCTTTATCACCATGGGCCTCAAACCGTCCGAAACGTCCACCTTCCATATACTACAAAAAGAGCGTTTCAAACCTGCTCTAGGAAAGGCAATGTTCAACTCTGTGACTTGAATGCAGACATCACAGAGCAGTTTCTGAGAATGCTTCTGTCCAGACTTTATAGGAAGATATTCCCGTTTCCAACGAAATCTTCACAGCTATCCAAATATCCACTTGCAGATACTACAAAAGAGTGTATCAAAAATGCTCTGTCAAAAGGAAAGTTCTTCTCTGCTAGTTGAGTACATACGTTATAAAGAAGTTTCTGAGAATGTTTCTGTCTAGTGGTTATGGGAAGATATTTGCTTTTTCCCCGTAGGCCTCAGAGCGCTCCAAATGTCCACTTGCACATGCTACAAAAAGAGTGCTTCAAAGCTGCTCTCTGAAAGGGAATGTTCAACTCTATGAGTTGAATGCAAACAACACAAAGACGTTTCTGAGAATGCTTCTGTCTAGATTTGATATGAAGATATTCCCGTTTCCAACGAAATCTTCAAATCTATCCAAATGTCCACTTGCAGATTCAACAAAAAGTGTTTTTCAGAACTGCTCTATCAAAAGAAAGATCCACCTCTGTTAGCTGAGTTCACACCTCACAAACAACTTTATGAGAATGCTTCTGTCTAGTTTTTATTTGAAGATATTTCCTTTCTCACCATAGACCTGAAAGCTGTCCTAATGTTCACTTCCAGATACTACAGAAAGAGTGTTTCAAAACTGCTGTACGAAAGGGAATGTTCAACTCTGTGACTTGAATGCACACATCAGAAAGAAGTTTCTGAGGATGCTGCTGTCTACGTTTTATACGTAATCCCGTTTCCAACGAAATCCTCCAAGCTATCCAAATATCCACTTGCAGATTCCACAGAAAGACTGTTTCAAAACTGCTCTGTCAATAGAAAGGTTCAACTCTGTTAACTGCGTGCATATATCCCAAAGAAGATTCTGAGATTGCTTCTGTCTAGTTTTTATGGGAAGATATTTCCCTTTTCACCGTAGGTGTCAAGGCGCTCCAAATGTCCACTTCCAGATACTACAAAAAGAGTGTTTCAAACCTACTCTATGAAAGGGAATATTCAACTCTGTGACTTAAAGGCAGATATCACAAAGAAGTTTCTGAGAATGCTTCTGTCGAGATTTTATATGAAGATATTCCCGTTCCCAACGAAATCCTCAAATCTATCCAAATATCCCCTCACAGATTCTACAAAAAGAGTGTTTCAAAACTGCTCTGTAAAAAGAAAGGTTCAACTCTGTTAGTTGAGTACACACATCACAAACAAGTTTCACAGAATGCTTCTTTCTAGCTTGTAGGGGAAGATATTCCCTTTATCACCATGGGCCTCAAACCATCCGAAAGGTCCACTTCAATATACTACAAAAAGAGCGTTTCAAACCTGCTCTAGGAAAGGGAATGTTCAACTCTGTGACTTGAATGCAGACATCACAGAGCAGTTTCTGAGAATGCTTCTGTCTAGATTTTATAGGAAGATATTCCCGTTTCCAACGAAACCTTCACAGCTATCCAAATATCCACTTGCAGATTCTACAAAAAGAGTGTATCAAAACTGCTCTGCCAAAAGGAAGGTTCTTCTCTGTTAGGTGAGTGCATACGTCATAAAGGAGTTTCTGAGAATGTTTCAGTCTAGTGGTTATGGGAAGATATTTGTTTTTTCCCCGTAGGACTCAGAGCGCTCCAAATATCCACTTGCACATACTACAAAAAGAGTGCTTCAAAGCTGCTCTCTGAAACGGAATGTTCAACTCTATGAGTTGAATGCAAACATCACAAAGACGTTTCTGAGAATGCTTCTGTCTAGATTTGATATGAAGATATTCCCGTTTCCAAAGAAATCTTCAAATCTATCCAAATGTCCTCTTGCAGATTCAACAAAAAGTGTTTTTCAGAACTGCTCTATCAAAAGAAAGATCCACGTGTGTTAGCTGAGTTCACACATCACGAACAAGTTTATGAGAATGCTTCTGTCTAGTTTTTATTTGAAGATATTTCCTTTCTCACCATAGACCTGAAACCTGTCCTAATGTTCACTTCCAGATACTACAGAAAGAGTGTTTCAAAACTGCTGTACGAAAGGGAATGTTCAACTCTGTGACTTGAATGCACACATCACAAAGAAGTTTCTGAGGATGCTGCTGTCTACTTTTTATACGTAATCCCGTTTCCAACGAAATCCTCCAAGCTATCCAAATATCCACTTGCAGATTCCACAGAAAGACTGTTTCAAAACTGCTCTGTCAATAGAAAGGTTCAACTCTGTGAGCTGCGTGCATATATCCCAAAGAAGATTCTGAGATTGCTTCTGTCTAGTTTTTATGGGAAGATATTTCCCTTTTCACCGTAGGTGTCAAGGCGCTCCAAATGTCCACTTCCAGATACTACAAAAAGAGTGTTTCAAACCTACTCTGTGAAAGGCAATATTCAACTCTGTGACTTGAATGCAGATATCACAAAGAAGTTTCTGAGAATGATTCTGTCGAGATTTTATATGAAGATATTCCCGTTTCCAACGAAATCCTGAAATCTATCCAAATATCCCCTTGCAGATTCTACAAAAAGAGTGTTTCAAAACTGCTCTGTGAAAAGAAAGGTTCAACTCTGTTAGTTGAGTACACACATCACAAACAAGTTTCACAGAATGCTTCTTTCTAGCTTGTAGGGGAAGATATTCCCTTTATCACCATGGGCCTCCAACCGTCCGAAACATCCACTTCCATATACTACAAAAAGAGCGTTTCAAACCTGCTCTAAGAAAGGCAATGTTCAACTCTGTGACTTGAATGCAGACATCACAGAGCAGTTTCTGAGAATGCTTCTGTCTAGATTTTATAGGAAGATATTCCCGTTTCCAATGAAATCTTCACAGCTATCCAAATATCCACTTGCAGATTCTACAAAAAGAGTGTATCAAAAATGCTCTGTCAAAAGGAAGGTTCTTCTCCGTTAGTTGAGTACATACGTCATAAAGGAGTTTCTGAGAATGTTTCTGTCTAGTGGTTATGGGAAGATATTTGCTTTTCCACCGTAGGCCTCAGAGCGCTCCAAATATCCACTTGCACATACTACAAAAAGAGTGCTTCAAAGCTGCTCTCTGAAACGGAATGTTCAACTCTATGAGTTGAATGCAAACATCACAAAGACGTTTCCGAGAATGCTTCTGTCTAGATTTGATATGAAGATATTCCCGTTTCCAACGAAATCTTCAAATCTATCCAAATGTCCACTTGCAGATTCAACAAAAAGTGTTTTTCAGAACTGCTCTATCAAAAGAAAGATCCACCTCTGTTATCTGAGTTCACACATCACAAACAAGTTTATGAGAATGCTTCTGTCTAGTTTTTATTTGAAGATATTTCCTTTCTCACCATAGACCTGAAAGCTGTCCTAATGTTCACTTCCAGATGAGTGTTTCACAGAAAGAGTGTTTCAAAACTGCTGTACGAAAGGGAATATTCAACTCTGTGACTTGAATGCACACATCACAAAGAAGTTTCTGAGGATGCTGCTGTCTACTTTTTATACGTAATCCCGTTTCCAACGAAATCCTCCAAGCTATCCAAATATCCACTTGCAGATTCCACAGAAAGACTGTTTCAAAACTGCTCTGTCAATGGAAAGGTTCAACTCTGTTAGCTGCGTGCATATATCCCAAAGAAGATTCTGAGATTGCTTCTGTCTAGTTTTTATGGGAAGATATTTCCCTTTTCACCGTAGGCGTCAAGGCGCTCCAAATGTCCACTTCCAGATATTACAAAAAGAGTGCTTCAAACCTTCTCTGTGAAAGGGAATATTCAACTCTGTGACTTGAATGCACATATCACAAAGAAGTTTCTGAGAATGCTTCTGTCGAGATTTTATCTGAAGATATTCCCGTTTCCAACGAAATCCTGAAATCTATCCAAATATCCCCTCGCAGATTCTACAGAAAGAGTGTTTCAAAACTGCTCTGTAAAAAGAAAGGTTCAACTCTGTTACTTGAGTACACACATCACAAACAAGTTTCACAGAATGCTTCTTTCTAGCTTGTAGGGGAAGATATTCCCTTTATCACCATGGGCCTCCAACCGTCCGAAACGTCCACTTCCATATACTACAAAAAGAGCGTTTCAAACCTGCTCTAGGAAAGGCAATGTTCAACTCTGTGACTTGAATGCAGACATCACAGAGCAGTTTCTGAGAATGCTTCTGTCTAGATTTTATAGGAAGATATTCCCGTTTCCAACGAAATCTTCACAGCTATCCAAATATCCCCTCGCAGATTCTACAAAAAGAGTGTATCAAAACTGCTCTGTCAAAAGGAAGGTTCTTCTCTGTTAGGTGAGTGCATACGTCATAAAGGAGTTTCTGAGAATGTTTCTGTCTAGTGGTTATGGGAAGATATTTGCTTTTTCACCTTAGGCCTCAGAGCGCTCCAAATATCCCCTTGCACATACTACAAAAAGAGTGCTTCAAAGCTGCTCTCTGAAAGGGAATCTTCAACTCTATGAGTTGAATGCCAACATCACAAAGACGTTTCTGAGAATGCTTCTGTCTAGATTTGATATGAAGATATTCCCGTTTCCAACGAAATCTTCAAATCTATCCAAATGTCCACTTGCAGATTCAACAAAAAGTGTTTTTCAGAACTGCTCTATCAAAAGAAAGATCCACCTCCGTTAGCTGAGTTCACACTTCACAAACAAGTTTATCAGAATGCTTCTGTCTAGTTTTTATTTGAATATATTTCCATTCTCACCATAGACCTGAAAGCTGTCCTAATGTTCACTTCCAGATACTACAGAAAGAGTGTTTCAAAACTGCTGTACGAAAGGGAATGTTCAACTCTGTGACTTGAATGCACACATCACAAAGAAGTTTCTGAGGATGCTGCTGTCTACTTTTTATACGTAATCCCATTTCCAACGAAATCCTCCAAGCTATCCAAATATCCACTTGCAGATTCCACAGAAAGACTGTTTCAAAACTGCTCTGTCAATAGAAAGGTTCAACTCTGTTAGCTGCGTGCATATATCCCAAAGAAGATTCTGAGATTGCTTCTGTCTAGTTTTTATGGGAAGATATTTCCCTTTTCACCGTAGGTGTCAAGGCGCTCCAAATGTCCACTTCCAGATACTACAAAAAGAGTGTTTCAAACCTACTCTGTGAAAGGGAATATTCAACTCTGTGACTTAAAGGCAGATATCACAAAGAAGTTTCTGATAATGCTTCTGTCTAGATTTTATATGAAGATATTCCCGTTTCCAACGAAATCCTGAAATCTCTCCAAATATCCCCTCGCAGATTCTACAAAAAGAGTGTTTCAAAACTGCTCTGTAAAAAGAAAGGTTCAACTCTGTTAGTTGAGTACACACATCACAAACAAGTTTCACAGAATGCTTCTTTCTAGCTTGTAGGGGAAGATATTCCCTTTATCACCATGGGCCTCAAACCGTCCGAAACGTCCACTTCCATATACTACAAAAAGAGCGTTTCAAACCTGCTCTAGGAAAGGCAATGTTCAACTCTGTGACTTGAATGCAGACATCACAGAGCAGTTTCTGAGAATGCTTTCTGTCTAGATTTTATAGGAAGATATTCCCGTTTCCAACGAAGTCTTCACAGCTATCCAAATATCCACTTGCAGATTCTACAAAAAGAGTGTATCAAAACTGCTCTGTCAAAAGGAAGGTTCTTTTCTGTTAGGTGAGTGCATACGTCATAAAGGAGTTTCTGAGAATGTTTCTGTCTAGTGGTTATGGGAAGATATTTGCTTTTTCCCCTTAGGACTAAGGGCGCTCCAAATGTCCACTTGCAGATGCTAGAAAAAGAGTGCTTCAAAGCTGCTCTCTGGAAGGGAATGTTCAACTCTATGAGTTGAATGCAAACATCACAAAGACGTTTCTGAGAATGCTACTGTCTAGATTTGATATAAAGTTATTCCCGTTTCCAACGAAATCTTCAAATCTATCCAAATGTCCACTTGCAGATTCAACAAAAAGTGTTTTTCCGAACTGCTCTATCAAAAGAAAGATCCACCTCTGTTAGCTGAGTTCACACATCACAAACAAGTTTATGAGAATGCTTCTGTCTAGTTTTTATTTGAAGATATTTCCTTTCTCACCATAGACCTCAAAGCTGTCCTAATGTTCACTTCCAGATACTACAGAAAGAGTGTTTCAAAACTGCTGTACGAAAGGGAATGTTCAACTCTGTGACTTGAATGCACACATCACAAAGAAGTTTCTGAGGATGCTGCTGTCTACCTTTTATACTTAATCCCGTTTCCAACGAAATCCTCCAAGCTATCCAAATATCCACTTGCAGATTCCACAGAAAGACTGTTTCAAAACTGCTCTGTCAATAGAAAGGTTCAACTCTGTTAGCTGCGTGCATATATCCCAAAGAAGATTCTGAGATTGCTTCTGTCTAGTTTTTATCGGAAGATATTTCCCTTTTCACCGTAGGTGTCAAGGTGCTCCAAATGTCCACTTCCAGATACTACAAAAAGAGTGTTTCAAACCTACTCTGTGAAAGGGAATATTCAACTCTGTGACTTGAATGCAGATATCACAAAGAAGTTTCTGAGAATGCTTCTGTCGAGATTTTAAATGAAGATATTCCCGTTTCCAACGAAATCCTGAAATCTATCCAAATATCCCCTCGCAGATTCTACAAAAAGAGTGTTTCTAAACTGCTCTGTAAAAAGAAAGGTTCAACTCTGTTAGTTGAGTATACACATCACAAACAAGTTTCACAGAATGCTTCTTTCTAGCTTGTAGGGGAAGATATTCCCTTTATCACCATGGGCCTCCAACCGTCCGAAACATCCACTTCCATATACTACAAAAAGAGCGTTTCAAACCTGCTCTACGAAAGGCAATGTTCAACTCTGTGACTTGAATGCAGACATCACAGAGCAGTTTCTGAGAATGCTTCTGTCTAGATTTTATAGGAAGATATTCCCTGTTTCCAACGAAATCTTCACAGCTATCCAAATATCCACTTGCAGATTCTACAAAAAGAGTGCATCAAAACTGCTCTGTCAAAAGGAAGGTTCTTCTCTGTTAGGTGAGTGCATACATCATAAAGGAGTTTCTGAGAATGTTTCTGTCTAGTGGTTATGGGAAGATATTTGCTTTTTCCCCGTAGGCCTCAGAGCGCTCCAAATATCCACTTGCACATACTACAAAAAGAGTGCCTCAAAGCTGCTCTCTGAAACGGAATGTTCAACTCTATGAGTTGAATGCAAACATCACAAAGACGTTTCTGAGAATGCTTCTGTCTAGATTTGATATGAAGATATTCCCGGTTCCAACGAAATCTTCAAATCTATCCAAATGTCCACTTGCAGATTCAACAAAAAGTGTTTTTCAGAACTGCTCTATCAAAAGAAAGATCCACCTCTGTTAGCTGAGTTCACACATCACAAACAAGTTTATGAGAATGCTTCTGTCTAGTTTTTATTTGAAGATATTTCCTTTCTCACCATAGACCTGAAAGCTGTCCTAATGTTCACTTCCAGTTACTACAGAAAGAGTGTTTCAAAACTGCTGTACGAAAGGGAATGTTCAACTCTGTGACTTGAATGCGCACATCACAAAGAAGTTTCTGAGGATGCTGCTGTCTACTTTTTATACGTAATCCCGTTTCCAACGAAATCCTCCAAGCTCTCCAAATATCCACTTGCAGATTCCACAGAAAGAGTGTTTCAAAACTGCTCTGTCAATAGAAAGGTTCAACTCTGTTAGCTGCGTGCATATATCCCAAAGAAGATTCTGAGATTGCTTCTGTCTAGTTTTTATGGGAAGATATTTCCCTTTTCACCGTAGGCGTCAAGGCGCTCCAAATGTCCACTTCCAGATACTACAAAAAGAGTGTTTCAAACCTACTCTGTGAAAGGGAATATTCAACTCTGTGACTTGAATGCACATATCACAAAGAAGTTTCTGAGAATGCTTTCTGTCGAGATTTTATATGAAGATATTCCCGTTTCCAACGAAATCCTGAAATCTATCCAAATATCCCCTCGCAGATTCTACAAAAAGAGTGTTTCAAAACTGCTCTGTAAAAAGAAAGGCTCTGTTAGTTGAGTGCACACATCACAAACAAGTTTCACAGAATGCTTCTTTCCAGCTTGTAGGGAAAGATATTCCCTTTAACACCATGGGCCTCAAACCGTCCGAAACGTCCACTTCCATATACTACAAAAAGAGCGTTTCAAACCTGCTCTAGGAAAAGCAATGTTCAACTCTGTGACTTGAATGCAGACATCACAGAGCAGTTTCTGAGAATGCTTCTGTCTAGATTTTATAAGAAGATATTCCCGTTTCCAACGAAATCTTCACAGCTATCCAAATATCCACTTGCAGATTCTACAAAAAGAGTGTATCAAAACTGCTCTGTCAAAAGGAAGGTTCTTCTCTGTTAGGTGAGTGCATACGTCATAAAGGAGTTTCTGAGAATGTTTCTGTCTAGTGGTTATGGGAAGATATTTGATTTTTCACCTTAGGCCACAGAGCGCTCCAAATATCCCCTTGCACATACTACAAAAAGAGTGCTTCAAAGCTGCTCTCTGAAAGGGAATGTTCAACTCTATGGGTTGAATGCAAACATCACAAAGACGTTTCTGAGAATGCTTCTGTCTAGATTTGATATGAAGATATTCCCGTTTCCAACGAAATCTTCAAATCTATCCAAATGTCCACTTGCAGATTCAACAAAAAATGTTTTTCAGAACTGCTCTATCAAAAGAAAGATCCACCTGTGTTAGCTGAGTTCACACATCACAAACAAGTTAATGAGAATGCTTCTGTCTTGTTTTTATTTGAAGATATTTCCTTTCTCACCATAGAGCTGAAAGCTGTCCTAATGTTCACTTCCAGATACTACAGAAAGAGTGTTTGAAAACTGCTGTACGAAAGGGAATGTTCAACTCTGTGACTTGAATGCACACATCACAAAGAAGTTTCTGAGGATGCTGCTGTCTACTTTTTATACGTAATCCCGTTTCCAACGAAATCCTCCAAGCTATCCAAATATCCACTTGCAGATTCCACAGAAAGACTGTTTCAAAACTGCTCTGTCAATAGAAAGGTTCAACTCTGTTAGCCTGCGTGCATATATCCCAAAGAAGATTCTGAGATTGCTTCTGTCTACTTTTTATGAGAAGATATTTCCCTTTTCACCGTAGGCGTCAAGGCGCTCCAAATGTCCACTTCCAGATACTACAAAAGGAGTGTTTCAAACCTACTCTGTGAAAGGGAATATTCAACTCTGTGACTTGAATGCACATATCACAAAGAAGTTTCTGAGAATGCTTCTGTCGAGATTTTATATGAAGATATTCCCCTTTCCAAAGAAATCCTGAAATCTATCCAAATATCCCCTCGCAGATTCTACAAAAAGAGTGTTTCAAAACTGCTCTGTAAAAAGAAAGGTTCAACTCTGTTAGTTGAGTACACACATCACAAACAAGTTTCACAGAATGCTTCTTTCTAGCTTGTAGGGGAAGATATTCCCTTTATCACCATGGGCCTCAAACCGTCCGAAACGTCCACTTCCATATACTACAAAAAGAGCGTTTCAAACCTGCTCTATGAAAGGCAATGTTCAACTCTGTGACTTGAATGCAGACATCACAGAGCAGTTTACTGAGAATGCTTCTGTCCAGACTTTATAGGAAGATATTCCCGTTTCCAACGAAATCTTCACAGCTATCCAAATATCCACTTGCAGATACTAGAAAAAGAATGTATCAAAAATGCTCTGTCAAAAGGAAAGTTCTTCTCTGCTACTTGAGTACATACGTCATAAAGAAGTTTCTGAGAATGTTTCTGTCTAGTGGTTATGGGAAGATATTTGCTTTTTCACCTTAGGCCTCAGAGCGCTCCAAATATCCACTTGCACATACTACAAAAAGAGTGCCTCAAAGCTGCTCTTTGAAACGGAATGTTCAACTCTATGAGTTGAATGCAAACATCACAAAGACGTTTCTGAGAATGCTTCTGTCTAGATTTGATATGAAGATATTCCCGTTTCCAACGAAATCTTCAAATCTATCCAAATGTCCACTTGCAGATTCAACAAAAAGCGTTTTTAGTACTGCTCTATCAGAAGAAAGATCCACCTCTGTTAGCTGAGTTCAGACATCACAAACAAGTTTATGAGAATGCTTCTGTCTAGTTTTTATTTGAAGATATTTCCTTTTTCACCATAGAGCTGAAAGCTGTCCTAATGTTCACTTCCAGTTACTACAGAAAGAGTGTTTCAAAACTGCTGTACGAAAAGGAATGTTCAACTCTGTGACTTGAATGCACACATCACAAAGAAGTTTCTGAGGATGCTGCTGGCTACTTTGTATACGTAATCCCGTTTCCAACGAAATCCTCCAAGCTATCCAAATATCCACTTGCAGATTCCACAGAAAGACTGTTTCAAAACTGCTCTGTCAATAGAAAGGTTCAACTCTGTTAGCTGCGTGCATATATCCCAAAGAAGATTCTGAGATTGCTTCTGTCTAATTTTTATGGGAAGATATTTCCCTTTTCACCGTAGGTGTCAAGGCGCTCCAAATGTCCACTTCCAGATACTACAAAAAGAGTGTTTCAAACCTACTCTGTGAAAGGGAATATTCAACTCTGTGACTTGAATGCACATATCACAAAGAAGTTTCTGAGAATGCTTCTGTCGAGATTTTATGTGAAGATACTCCCGTTTCCAACGAAATCCTGAAATCTATCCAAATATCCCCTCGCAGATTCTACAAAAAGAGTGTTTCAAAACTGCTCTGTAAAAAGAAAGGTTCAACTCTGTTAGTTGAGTACACACATCACAAACAAGTTTCACAGAATGTTTCTTTCTAGCTTGTAGGGGAAGATATTCCCTTTATCACCACGGGCCTCCAACCGTCCGAAACATCCACTTCCATATACTACAAAAAGAGCGTTTCAAACCTGCTCTATGAAAGGCAATGTTCAACTCTGTGACTTGAATGCAGACATCACAGAGCAGTTTCTGAGAATGCTTCTGTCTAGATTTTATAGGAAGATATTCCCGTTTCCAACGAAATCTTCACAGCTATCCAAATATCCACTTGCAGATCCTACAAAAAGAGTGTATCAAAACTGCTCTGTCAAAAGGAAGGTTCTTCTCTGTTAGGTGAGTGCATACGTCATACAGGAGTTTCTGAGAATGTTTCTGTCTAGTGGTTATGGGAAGATATTTGCTTTTTCACCGAAGGCCTCAGAGCGCTCCAAATATCCACTTGCACATACTACAAAAAGAGTGCCTCAAAGCTGCTCTCTGAAACGGAATGTTCAACTCTATGAGTTGAATGCAAACATCACAACGACGTTTCTGAGAATGCTTCTGTCTAGATTTGATATGAAGATATTCCCGTTTCCAACGAAATCTTCAAATCTATCCAAATGTCCACTTGCAGATTCAACAAAAAGTGTTTTTCAGAACTGCTCTATCAAAAGAAACATCCACCTCTGTTAGCTGAGTTCTCACATCACAAACAAGTTTATGAGAATGCTTCTGTCTAGTTTTTATTTGAAGATATTTCCTTTCTCACCATAGATCTGAAAGCTGTTCTAATGTTCACTTCCATATGCTACAGAAAGAGTGTTTCAAAACTGCTGTACGAAAGGGAATGTTCAACTCTGTGACTTGAATGCACACATCACAAAGAAGTTTCTGAGGATGCTGCTGTCTACTTTTTATACGTAATCCCGTTTCCAACGAAATCCTCCAAGCTATCCAAATATCCACATGCAGATTCCAGAGAAAGACTGTTTCAAAACTGCTCTGTCAATAGAAAGGTTCAACTCTGTTAGCTGCGTGCATATATCCCAAAGAAGATTCTGAGATTGCTTCTGTCTAGTTTTTATGGGAAGATATTTCCCTTTTCACCGTAGGCGTCAAGGCGCTCCAAATGTACACTTCCAGATACTACAAAAGAGTGTTTCAAACCTACACTGTGAAAGGGAATATTCAACTCTGTGACTTGAATGCAGATATCACAAAGAAGTTTCTGAGAATGCTTCTGTCGAGATTTTATATGAAGATATTCCCGTTTCCAACGAAATCCTGAAATCTATCCATATATCCCCTCGCAGATTCTACAAAAAGAGTGTTTCAAAACTGCTCTGTAAAAAGAAAGGTTCAACTCTGTTAGTTGAGTACACACATCACAAACAAGTTTCACAGAATGCTTCTTTCTAGCTTGTAGGGGAAGATATTCCCTTTATCACCATGGGCCTCAAACCGTCCGAAACGTCCACTTTTATATACTACAAAAAGAGCGTTTCAAACCGGCTCTATGAAAGGCAATGTTCAACTCTGTGACTTGAATGCAGACATCACAGAGCTGTTTCTGAGAATGCTTCTGTCTAGATTTTATAGGAAGATATTCCCGTTTCCAACGAAATCTTCACAGCTATCCAAATATCCACTTGCAGATTCTACAAAAAGAGTGCATCAAAACTGCTCTGTCAAAAGGAAGGTTCTTCTCTGTTAGTTGAGTACATACGTCATAAAGGAGTTTCTGAGAATGTTTCTGTCTAGTGGTTATGGGAAGATATTTGCTTTTTCACCGTAGGCCTCAGAGCGCTCCAAATATCCACTTGCACATACTACAAAAAGAGTGCCTCAAAGCTGCTCTCTGAAACGGAATGTTCAACTCTATGAGTTGAATGCAAACATCACAACGACGTTTCTGAGAATGCTTCTGTCTAGATTTGATATGAAGATATTCCCGTTTCCAACGAAATCTTCAAATCTATTCAAATGTCCACTTGCAGATTCCACAAAAAGTGTTTTTCAGAACTGCTCTATCAAAAGAAAGATCCACCTCTGTTAGCTGAGTTCACACATCACAAACAAGTTTATGAGAATGCTTCTGTCTAGTTTTTATCTGAAGATATTTCCTTTCTCACCATAGAGCTGAAAGCTGTCCTAATGTTCACTTCCAGATACTACAGAAAGAGTGTTTCAAAACTGCTGTACGAAAGGGAATGTTCAACTGTGTGACTTGAATGCACACATCACAAAGAAGTTTCTGAGGATGCTGCTGTCTACTTTTTATACGTAATCCCGTTTCCAACGAAATCCTCCAAGCTATCCAAATATCCACTTGCAGATTCCACAGAAAGACTGTTTGAAAACTGCTCTGTCAATAGAAAGGTTCAACTCTGTTAGCTGCGTGCATATATCCCAAAGAAGATTCTGAGATTGCTTCTGTCTAGTTTTTATGGGAAGATATTTCCCTTTTCACCGTAGGTGTCAAGGCGCTCCAAATGTCCACTTCCAGATACTACAAAAAGAGTGTTTCAAACCTACTCTGAGAAAGGGAATATTCAACTCTGTGACTTGAAGGCAGATATCACAAAGAAGTTTCTGAGAATGCTTCTGTCGCGATTTTATATGAAGATATTCCCGTTTCCAACAAAATCCTGAAATCTATCCAAATATCTCCTCGCAGATTCTACAAAAAGAGTGTTTCAAAACTGCTCTGTAAAAAGAAAGGTTCAACTCTGTTAGTTGAGTACACACATCACAAACAAGTTTCACAGAATGCTTCTTTCTAGCTTGTAGGGGAAGATATTCCCTTTATCACCATGGGCCTCAGACCGTCCGAAACGTCCACTTCCATATACTTCAAAAAGAGGGTTTCAAACCTGCTCTATGAAAGGCAATGTTCAACTCTGTGACTTGAATGCAGACATCACAGAGCAGTTTCTGAGAATGCTTCTGTCTAGATTTTATAGGAAGATATTTCCGTTTCCAACGAAACCTTCACAGCTATCCAAATATCCACTTGGAGATTCTACAAAAAGAGTGTATCAAAACTGCTCTGTCAAAAGGAAGGTTCTTCTCTGTTAGGTGAGTGCATACGTCATAAAGGAGTTTCTGAGAATGTTTCTGTCTAGTGGTTATGGTAAGATATTTGCTTTTTCACCGTAGGCCTCAGAGCGCTCCAAATATCCACTTGCACATACTACAAAAAGAGTGCTTCAAAGCTGCTCTCTGAAACGGAATGTTCAACTCTATGAGTTGAATGCAAACATCACAAAGACGTTTCTGAGAATGCTTCTGTCTAGATTTGATATGAAGATATTCCCGTTTCCAACGAAATCTTCAAATCTATCCAAATATCCACTTGCAGATTCAACAAAAAGTGTTTTTCAGAACTGCTCTATCAAAAGAAAGATCCACCTCTGTTAGCTGAGTTTACACATCACAAACAAGTTTATGAGAATGCTTCTGTCTAGTTTTTATTTGAAGATATTTCCTTTCTCACCATAGACCTGAAAGCTGTCCTAATGTTCACTTCCAGATACTACAGAAAGAGTGTTTCAAAACTGCTGTACGAAAGGGAATGTTCAACTCTGTGACTTGAATGCACACATCACAAAGAAGTTTCTGAGGATTCTCTGTCTACTTTTTATACGTAATCCCGTTTCCAACGAAATCCTCCAAGCTATCCAAATATCCACTTGCAGATTCCACAGAAAGAATGTTTCAAAACTGCTCTGTCAATAGAAAGGTTCAACTCTGTTAGCTGCGTGCATATATCCCAAAGAAGATTCTGAGATTGCTTGCTGTCTAGTTTTTATGGGAAGATATTTCCCTTTTCACCGTAGGCGTCAAGGCGCTCCAAATGTCCACTTCCAGATACTACAAAAAGAGTGTTTCAAACCTACTCTGTGAAAGGGAATATTCAACTCTGTGACTTGAATGCAGATATCACAAAGAAGTTTCTGAGAATGCTTCTGTCGAGATTTTATATGAAGATATTCCCGTTTCCAACGAAATCCTGAAATCTATCCAAATATCCCCTCGCAGATTCTACGAAAAGAGTGTTTCAAAACTGCTCTGTAAAAAGAAAGGTTCAACTCTGTTAGTTGAGTACACACCTCACAAACAAGTTTCACAGAATGCTTCTTTCTAGCTTGTAGGGGAAGATATTCCCTTTATCACCATCGGCCTCAAACCGTCTGAAACGTCCACTTCCATATACTACAAAAAGAGCATTTCAAACCTGCTCTATGAAAGGCAATGTTCAACTCTGTGACTTGAATGCAGACATCACAGAGCAGTTTCTGAGAATGCTTCTGTCTAGATTTTATAGGAAGATATTCCCGTTTCCAACGAAATCTTCACAGCTATCCAAATATCCACTTGCAGATTCTACAAAAAGAGTGTATCAAAACTGCTCTGTCAAAAGGAAGGTTCTTCTCTGTTAGGTGAGTGCATACGTCATAAAGGAGTTTCTTAGAATGTTTCTGTCTAGTGGTTATGGGAAGATATTTGCTTTTTCCCCGTAGGCCTCAGGGCGCTCCAAATGTCCACTTGCACATGCTACAAAAAGAGTGCTTCAAAGCTGGTCTCTGAAAGGGAATGTTCAACTCTATGAGTTGAATGCAAACATCACAAAGACGTTTCTGAGAATGCTTCTGTCTAGATTTGATATGAAGATATTCCCGTTTCCAAAGCAAATCTTCAAACCTATCCAAATGTCCACTTGCAGATTCAACAAAAAGTGTTTTTCAGAACTGCTCTATCAAAAGAAAGATCCACGTCTCTTAGCTGAGTTCACACATCACAAACAAGTTTATGAGAATGCTTCTGTCTAGTTTTTATTTGAAGATATTTCCTTTCTCACCATAGACCTGAAAGCTGACCTAATGTTCACTTCCAGATACTACAGAAAGAGTGTTTCAAAACTGCTGTACGAAAGGTGATGTTCAACTCTGTGACTTGAATGCACACATCACAAAGAAGTTTCTGAGGATGCTGCTGTCTACTTCTTATACGTAATCCCGTTTCCAACGAAATCCTCCAAGCTATCCAAATATCCACTTGCAGATTCCACAGAAAGACTGTTTCAAAACTGCTATGTCAATAGAAAGGTTCAACTCTGTTAGCTGTGTGCATATATCCCAAAGAAAATTCTGAGATTGCTTCTGTCTAGTATTTATGGGAAGATATTTCCCTTTTCACTGTAGGTGTCAAGGAGCTCCAAATGTCCACTTCCAGATACTACAAAAAGAGTGTTTCAAACCTACTCTGCGAAAGGGAATATTCAACTCTGTGACTTGAAGGCAGATATCACAAAGAAGTTTCTGAGAATGCTTCTGTCGAGATTTTCTATGAAGATATTCCCGTTTGCAACGAAATCCTGAAATCTATCCAAATATCCCCTCGCAGATTCTACAAAAAGAGTGTTTCAAAACTGCTCTGTAAAAAGAAAGGTTCAACTCTGTTAGTTGAGTACACACATCACAAACAAGTTTCACAGAATGCTTCCTTCTAGCTTGTAGGGGAAGATATTCCCTTTATCACCATGGGCCTCAAACCGTCCGAAACTTCCACTTCCATATACTACAAAAAGAGCGTTTCAAACCTGCTCTAGGAAAGGCAATGTTCAACTCTGTGACTTGAATGCAGACATCACAGAGCAGTTTCTGAGAATGCTTCTGTCTAGATATTATAGGAAGATATTCCCGTTTCCAACGAAATCTTCACAGCTATCAAAATATCCACTTGCAGATTCTACAAAAAGAGTGTATCAAAACTGCTCTGTCAAAAGGAAGGTTCTTCTCTGTTAGGTGAGTGCATACGTCATAAAGGAGTTTCTGAGAATGTTTCTGTGTAGTGGTTATGGGAAGATATTTGCTTTTTCCCCGTAGGCCTCAGGGCGCTCCAAATGTCCACTTGCACATGCTACAAAAAGAGTGCTTCAAAGCTGCTCTCTGAAAGGGAATGTTCAACTCTATGAGTTGAATGCAAACATCACAAAGACGTTTCTGAGAATGCTCTGTCTAGATTTGATATGAAGATATTCCCGTTTCCAACGAAATCTTCAAATCTATCCAAATGTCCACTTGCAGATTCAACAAAAAGTGTTTTTCAGAACTGCTCTATCAAAAGAAAGATCCACCTCTGTTAGCTGAGTTCACACATCACAAACAAGTTTATGAGAATGCTTTCTGTCTAGTTTTTATTTGAAGATATTTCCTTTCTCACCATAGACCTGAAAGCTGTCCTAATGTTCTCTTCCAGATGCTACAGAAAAAGTGTTTCAAAACTGCTGTACGAAAGGGAATGTTCAATTCTGTGACTTGAATGCACACATCACAAAGAAGTTTCTGAGGATGCGGCTGTCTAGTTTTTATACGTAATCCCGTTTCCAACGAAATCCTCCAAGCTATCCAAATATCCACTTGCAGATTCCACAGAAAGACTGTTTCAAAACTGCTCTGTCAATAGAAAGGTTCAACTCTGTTAGCTGCGTGCATATATCCCAAAGAAGATTCTGAGATTGCTTCTGTCGAGATTTTATATGAAGATATTCCCGTTTCCAATGAAATCCTGAAATCTATCCAAATATCCCCTCGCAGATTCTACAAAAAGAGTGTTTCAAAACTGCTCTGTAAAAAGAAAGGTTCAACTCTGTTAATTGAGTACACACATCACAAACAAGTTTCACAGAATGCTTCTTTCTAGCTTGTAGGGGAAGATATTCCCTTTATCACCATGGGCCTCAAACCGTCCGAAAAGTCCACTTCCATATACTACAAAAAGAGCATTTCAAACCTGCTCTATGAAAGGCAATGTTCAACTCTGTGACTTGAATACAGACATCACAGAGCAGTTTCTGAGAATGCTTCTGTCTAGATTTTATAGGAAGATATTCCCGTTTCCAACGAAATCTTCACAGCTATCCAAATATCCACTTGCAGATTCTACAAAAAGAGTGTATCAGAACTGCTCTGTCAAAAGGAAGGTTCTTCTCTGTTAGGTGAGTGCATACGTCATAAAGGAGTTTCTGAGAATGTTTCTGTCTAGTGGTTATGGGAAGATATTTGCTTTTTCACTGTAGGCCTCAGAGCGCTCCAAATATCCACTTGCACATACTACAAAAAGAGTGCTTCAAAGCTGCTCTCTGAAACGGAATGTTCAACTCTATGAGTTGAATGCAAACATCACAAAGACGTTTCTGAGAATGCTTCTGTCTAGATTTGATATGAAGATATTCCCGTTTCCAACGAAATCTACAAATCTATCCAAATGTCCACTTGCAGATTCAACAAAAAGTGTTTTTCAGAACTGCTCTATCAAAAGAAAGGTCCACCTCTGTTAGCTGAGTTCACACATCACAAACAAGTTTATGAGAATGCTTCTGTCTAGTTTTTATTTGAAGATATTTCCTTTCTCACCATAGACCTGAAAGCTGTCCTAATGTTCACTTCCAGATACTACAGAAAGAGTGTTTCAAAACTGCTGTACGAAAGGGAATGTTCAACTCTGGGAGTTGAATGCATACATCACAAAGAAGTTTCTGAGGATGCTGCTGTCTACTTTTTATACGTAATCCCATTTCCAACGAAATCCTCCAAGCTATCCAAATATCCACTTGCAGATTCCACAGAAAGACTGTTTCAAAACTGCTATGTCAATAGAAAAGTTCAACTCAGTTAGCTGTGTGCATATATCCCAAAGAAAATTCTGAGATTGCTTCTGTCTAGTTTTTATGGGAAGATATTTCCATTTTCACCGTAGGCGTCAAGGCACTCCAAATGTCCACTTCCAGATACTACAAAAAGAGTGTTTCAAACCTACTCTGTGAAAGGGAATATTCAACTCTGTGACTTGAAGGCAGATATGACAAAGAAGTTTCTGAGAATGCTTCTGTCGAGATTTTATATGAAGATATTCCCGTTTCCAACGAAATGCTGAAATGTATCCAAATATCCCCTCGCAGATTCTACAAAAAGAGTGTTTCAAAACTGCTCTGTAAAAAGAAAGGTTCAACTCTGTTAGTTGAGTACACACATCACAAACAAGTTTCAAACAATGCTCTTTCTAGCTTGTAGGGGAAGATATTCCCTTTATCACCATGGGCCTCAAACCGTCCGAAACGTCCACTTCCATATACTACAAAAAGAGCGTTTCAAACCTGCTCTAGGAAAGGCAATGTTCAACTCTGTGACTTGAATGCAGACATCACATAGCAGTTTCTGAGAATGCTTTCTGTCTAGATTTTATAGGAAGATATTCCCGTTTCCAGCAAAATCTTCACAGCTATCCAAATATCCACTTGCAGATTCTACAAAAAGAGTGTATCAAAACTGATCTGTCAAATGGAAGGTTCTTCTCTGTTAGGTGAGTGCATACGTCATAAACGAGTTTCTGAGAATGTTTCTGTCTAGTGGTTATGGGAAGATATTTGCTTTTTCACCGTAGGCCTCAGAGCGCTCCAAATATCCACTTGCACATACTACAAAAAGAGTGCCTCAAAGCTGCTCTTTGAAACGGAATGTTCAACTCTATGAGTTGAATGCAAACATCACAAAGACGTTTCCTGAGAATGCTTCTGTCTAGATTTGATATGAAGATATTCCCGTTTCCAACGAAATCTTCAAATCTATCCAAATGTCCACTTGCAGATTCAAAAAAAAGTGTTTTTCAGAACTGCTCTATCAAAAGAAAGATCCACCTCTGTTAGCTGAGTTCACACATCACAAACAAGTTTATGAAAATGCTTCTGTCTAGTTTTTATTTGAAGATATTTCCTTTCTCACCATAGAGCTGAAAGCTGTCCTAATGTTCACTTCCAGATACTACAGAAAGAGTGTTTCAAAACTGCTGTACGAAAGGGAATGTTCAACTCTGTGACTTGAATGCACACATCACAAAGAAGTTTCAGAGGATGCTGCTGTCTACTTTTTATACGTAATCCCGTTTCCAACGAAATCCTCCAAGCTATCCAAATATCCACTTGCAGATTCCACAGAAAGACTGTTTCAAAACTGCTCTGTCAATAGAAAGGTTCAACTCTGTTAGCTGCGTGCATATATCCCAAAGAAGATTCTCAGATTGCTTCTGTCTAGTTTTTATGGGAAGATATTTCCCTTTTCACCGTAGGTGTCAAGGCGCTCCAAATGTCCACTTCCAGATACTACAAAAAGAGTGTTTCTAACCTACTCTGTGAAAGGGAATATTCAACTCTGTGACTCGAATGCACATATCACAAAGAAGTTTCTGAGAATGCTTCTGTCGAGATTTTATATGAAGATATTCCCGTTTCCATCGAAATCCTGAAATCTATCCAAATATCCCCTCGCAGATTCTACAAAAAGAGTGTTTCAAAACTGCTCTGTAAAAAGAAAGGTTCAACTCTGTTAGTTGACTACACACATCACAAACAAGTTTCACACAATGCTTCTTTCTAGCTTGTAGGGGAAGATATTCCCTTTATCACCATGGGCCTCCAACCGTCCGAAACATCCACTTACATATACTACAAAAAGAGCGTTTCAAACCTGCTCTATGAAAGGCAATGTTCAACTCTGTGACTTGAATACAGATATCACAGAGCAGTTTCTGAAAATGCTTCTGTCTAGATTTTATAGGAAGATATTCCCGTTTCCAACGAAATCTTCACAGCTATCCAAATATCCACTTGCAGATTCTACAAAAAGAGTGTATCAAAACTGCTCTGTCAAAACGAAGGTTCTTCTCTGTTAGGTGAGTGCATACGTCATAGAGGAGTTTCTGAGAATGTTTCTGTCTAGTGGTTATGGGAAGATATTTGCTTTTTCACCGTAGGCCTCAGAGTGCTCCAAATATCCGCTTGCACATACTACAAAAAGAGTGCTTCAAAGCTGCTCTCTGAAACGGAATGTTCAACTCTATGAGTTGAATGCAAACATGACAAAGACGTTTCTGAGAATGCTTCTCTCTAGATTTCATATGAAGATATTCCCGTTTCCAAAGAAATCTTCAAATCTATCCAAATGTCCACTTGCAGATTCAACAAAAAGTGTTTTTCAGAACTGCTCTATCAAAAGAAAGATCCACGTCTCTTAGCTGAGTTCACACATCACAAACAAGTTTATGAGAATGCTTCTGTCTAGTTTTTATTTGAAGATATTTCCTTTCTCACCATAGACCGGAAAGCTGTCCTAATGTTCACTTCCAGATACTACAGAAAGAGTGTTTCAAAACTGCTGTACGAAAGGGAATGTTCAACTCTGTGACTTGAATGCACACATCACAAAGATGTTTCTGAGGATGCTGCTGTCTACTTTTTATACGTAATCCCGTTTCCAACGAAATCCTCCAAGCTATCCAAATATCCACTTCCAGATTCCACAGAAAGACTGTTTCAAAACTGCTCTGTCAATAGAAAGGTTCAACTCTATTAGCTGCGTACATATATCCCAAAGAAGATTCTGAGATTGCTTCTGTCTAGTTTTTATGGGAAGATATTTCCCTTTTCACCGTAGGCGTCAAGGCGCTCCAAATGTCCACTTCCAGATACTACAAAAAGAGTGTTTCAAACCTACTCTGTGAAAGGGAATATTCAACGGTGTGACTAGAATGCACGTATCACAAAGAAGTTTCTGAGAATGCTTCTGTCGAGATTTTATATGAAGATATTCCCGTTTCCAACGAAATCCTGAAATCTATCCAAATATCCCCTCGCAGATTCTACAAAAAGAGTGTTTCAAAACTGCTCTGTGAAAAGAAAGGTTCAACTCTGTTAGTTGAGTACACACATCACAAACAAGTTTCACAGAATGCTTTCTTTCTAGCTTGTAGGGGAAGATATTCCCTTTATCACCATGGGCCTCAAACCATCCGAAACGTCCACTTCCATATACTACAAAAAGAGCGTTTCAAACCTGCTCTATGAAAGGCAATGTTCAGCTCTGTGACTTGAATGCAGACATCACAGAGCAGTTTCTGAGAATGCTTCTGTCTAGATTTTATAGGAAGATATTCCCGTTTCCAACGAAATCTTCGCAGCTATCCAAATATCCACTTGCAGATTCTACAAAAAGAGTGTATCAAAACTGCTCTGTCAAAAGGAAGGTTCTTCTCTGTTAGGTGAGTGCATACGTCATAAAGGAGTTTCTGAGAATGTTTCTGTCTAGTGGTTATGGGAAGATATTTGCTTTTTCCCCGTAGGCCTCAGGGCCCTCCAAATGTCCACTTGCACATGCTACAAAAAGAGTGCTTCAAAGCTGCTCTCTGAAAGGGAATGTTCAACTCTATGAGTTGAATGCAAACATCGGAAAGACGTTTCTGAGAATGCTTCTGTCTAGATTTGAAATGAAGTTATTCCCGTTTCCAACGAAATCTTCAAATCTATCCAAATGTCCAATTGCAGATTCAACAAAAAGTGTTTTTCAGAACTGCTCTATCAAAAGAAAGATCCACCTCGGTTAGCTGAGTTCACACATCACAAAGAAGTTTATGAGAATGCTTCTGTCTAGTTTTTATTTGAAGATATTTCCTTTCTCACCATAGACCTGAAAGCTGTCCTAATGTTCACTTCCAGATACTACAGAAAGAGTGTTTCAAAACTGATGTACAAAAGGGAATGTTCAACTCTGTGACTTGAATGCACACATCACAAAGAAGTTTCTGAGGATGCTGCTGTCTACTTTTTATACGTAATCCCGTTTCCAACGAAAATCCTCCAAGCTATACAAATATCCACTTGCAGATTCCACAGAAAGACTGTTTCAAAACTGCTCTGTCAATAGAAAGGTTCAACTCTGTTAGCTGCGTGCATATATCCCAAAGAAGATTCTGAGATTGCTTCTGTCTAGTTTTTATGGGAAGATATTTCCGTTTTCACTGTAGGCGTCAAGGCGCTCCAAATGTCCACTTCCAGATACTACAAAAAGAGTGTTTCAAACCTACTCTGTGAAAGGGAATATTCAACTCTGTGACTTGAATGCACATATCACAAAGAAGTTTCTGAGAATGCTTCTGTCGAGATTTTATATGAAGATATTCCCCTTTCCAACGAAATCCTGAAATCTATCCAAATATGCCCTCGCAGATTCTACAAAAAGAGTGTTTCAAAACTGCTCTGTAAAAAGAAAGGTTCAACTCTGTGAGTTGAGTACACACATCACAAACAAGTTTCACAGAATGCTTCTTTCTAGCTTGTAGGGGAAGATATTCCCTTTATCACCATGGTCCTCAAACCGTCCGAAACGTCCTCTTCCATATAGTACAAAAAGAGCGTTTCAAACCTGCTCTATGAAAGGCAATGTTCAATTCTGTGACTTGAATGCAGACATCACAGCGCAGTTTCTGAGAATGCTTCTGTCTAGATTTTATAGGAAGATATTCCCGTTTCCAGCGAAATCTTCACAGCTATCCAAATATCCACTTGCAGATTCTACAAAAAGAGTGTATCAAAACTGCTCTGTCAAATGGAAGGTTCTTCTCTGTTAGGTGAGTGCATACGTCATAAAGGAGTTTCTGAGAATGTTTCTGTCTAGTGGTTATGGGAAGATATTTGCTTTTTCACCGTAGGCCTCAGGGCGCTCCAAATTTTCTCTTGCACATACTACAAAAAGAGTGCTTCAAAGCTGCTCTCTGAAAGGGAATGTTCAACTCTATGAGTTGAATGCAAACATCACAAAGACGTTTCTGAGAATGCTTCTGTCTAGATTTGATATGAAGATATTCCCGTTTCCAACGAAATCTTCAAATATATCCAAATGTCCACTTGCAGATTCAACAAAAGTGATTTTCAGAACTGCTCTATCAAAAGAAAGATCCACGTGTGTTAGCTGAGTTCACACATCACAAACAAGTTTATGAGAATGCTTCTGTCTAGTTTTTATTTGAAGATATTTCCTTTCTCACCATAGAGCTGAAAGCTGTCTTAATTTTCACTTCCAGATACTACAGAAAGAGTGTTTCAAAACTGCTGTACGAAAGGGAATATTCAACTCTGTGACTTGAATGCACACATCACAAAGAAGTTTCTGAGGATGCTGCTGTCTACTTTTTATACGTAATCCGGTTTCCAACGAAATCCTCCAAGCTATCCAAATATCCACTTGCAGATTCCACAGAAAGACTGTTTCAAAACTGCTATGTCAATAGAAAAGTTCAACTCTGTTAGCTGTGTGCATATATCCCAAAGAAAATTCTGAGATTGCTTCTGTCTAGTTTTTATGGGAAGATATTTCCCTTTTCACCGTAGGTGTCAAGGCGCTCCAAATGTCCACTTCCAGATACTACAAAAAGAGTGTTTCAAACCTACTCTGTGAAAAGGAATATTCAACTCTGTGACTTTAATGCACATATCACAAAGAAGTTTCTGAGAATGCTTCTGTCGAGATTTTATATGAAGATATTCCCGTTTCCAAAGAAATCCTGAAATCTATCCAAATATCCCTTCACAGATTCTACAAAAAGAGTGTTTCAAAACTGCTCTGTAAAAAGAAAGGTTCAACTCTGTTAGTTGAGTACACACATCACAAACAAGTTTCACAGAATGCTTCTTTCTAGCTTGTAGGGGAAGATATTCCCTTTATCACCATGGGCCTCAAACCGTCCGAAACGTCAACTTCCATATACTACAAAAAGAGCGTTTCAAACCTGCTCTATGAAAGGCAATGTTCAACTCTGTGACTTGAATGCAGACATCACAGTAGCAGTTTCTGAGAATGCTTCTGTCTAGATTTTATAGGAAGATATTCCCGTTTCCAACGAAATCTTCACAGCTATCCAAATATCCACTTTCAGATTCTACAAAAAGAGTGTATCAAAACTGCTCTGTCAAAAGGAAGGTTCTTCTCTGTTAGGTGAGTGCATACGTCATAAAGGAGTTTCTGAGAATGTTTCTGTCTAGTGGTTATGGGAAGATATTTGCTTTTTCACCGTAGGCCTCAGAGCGCTCCAAATATCCACTTGCAGATACTACAAAAAGAGTGCTTCAAAGCTGCTCTCTGAAACGGAATGTTCAACTCTATGAGTTGAATGCAAACATCACAAAGACGTTTCTGAGAATGCTTCTGTCTAGATTTGATATCAAGATATTCCCGTTTCCAACGAAATCTTCAAATCTATCCAAATGTCCACTTGCAGATTCAACAAAAAGTGTTTTTCAAAACTGCTGTATCAAAAGAAAGATCCACGTCTGTTAGCTGAGTTCACACATCACAAACAAGTTTATGAGAATGCTTCTGTCTAGTTTTTATTTGAAGATATATCCTTTCTCACCATAGACCTGAAAGCTGTCCTAATGCTCACTTCCAGATACTACAGAAAGAGTGTTTCAAAACTGCTGTACGAAAGGGAATGTTCAACTCTGTGACTTGAATGCACACATCACAAAGAAGTTTCTGAGGATGCTGCTGTCTACTTTTTATATGTAATCCCGTTTCCAACGAAATCCTCCAATCTATCCAAATATCCACTTGCAGATTCCACAGAAAGACTGTTTCAAAACTGCTCTGTCAATAGAAAGGTTCAACTCTGTTAGCTGCGTGCATATATCCCAAAGAAGATTCTGAGATTGCTTCTGTCTAGTTTTTATGGGAAGATATTTCCCTTTTCACCGTAGGCGTCAAGGCGCTCCAAATGTCCACTTCCAGATACTACAAAAAGAGTGTTTCAAACCTACTCTGTGAAAGGGTATATTCAACTCTGTGACTTGAAGGCAGATATCACAAAGAAGTTTCTGAGAATGCTTCTGTCGAGATTTTATATGAAGATATTCCCGTTTCCAAAGAAATCCTGAAATCTATCCAAATATCCCCTCGCAGATTCTACAAAAAGAGTGTCTCAAAACTGCTCTGTAAAAAGAAAGGTTCAACTCTGTTAGTTGAGTACACACATCACAAACAAGTTTCACAGAATGCTTCTTTCTAGCTTGTAGGGGAAGATATTCCCTTTATCACCATGGGCCTCAAACCGTCCGAAACGTCCACTTCCATATACTTCAAAAAGAGCGTTTCAAACCTGCTCTATGAAAGGCAATGTTCAACTCTGTGACTTGAATGCAGACATCACAGAGCAGTTTCTGAGAATGCTTCTGTCTAGATTTTATAGGAAGATATTCTCGTTTCCAACGAAATCTTCACAGCTATCCAAATATCCACTTTCAGATTCTACAAAAAGAGTGTATCAAAAGTGCTCTGTCAAAAGGAAGGTTCTTCTCTGTTAGGTGAGTGCATACGTCATAAAGGAGTTTCTGAAAATGTTTCTGTCTAGTCGTTATGGGAAGATATTTGCTTTTTCACCGTAGGCCTGAGAGCGCTACAAATATCCCCTTGCACATACTATCAAAAGAGTTCTTCAGAGCTGCTCTGTGAAAGGGAATGTTCAACTCTATGAGTTGAATGCAAACATCACAAAGACGTTTCTGAGAATGCTTCTGTCTAGATTTGATATGAAGGTATTCCCGTTTCCAACGAAATCTTCAAATCTATCCAAATGTCCACTTGCAGATTCAACAAAAAGTGTTTTTCAGAACTGCTCTATCAAAAGAAAGATCCACCTCTGTTAGCTGAGTTCACACATCACAAACAAGTTTATGAGAATGCTTCTGTCTAGTTTTTATTTGAAGATATTTCCTTTCTCACCATAGAGCTGAAAGCTGTACTAATGTTCACTTCCAGATACTACAGAAAGAGTGTTTCAAAACTGCTGTACGAAAGGGAATGTTCAACTCTGTGACTTGAATGCACACATCACAAAGAAGTTTCTGAGGATGCTGCTGTCTACTTTTTATACTTAATCCCGTTTCCAACGAAATACTCCAAGCTATCCAAATATCCACTTGCAGATTCCACAGAAAGACTGTTTCAAAACTGCTCTGTCAATAGTAAGGTTCAACTCTGTTAGCTGCGTGCATATATCCCAAAGAAGATTCTGAGATTGCTTCTGTCTAGTTTTTATGGGAAGATATTTCCCTTTTCACCGTAGGTGTTAAGGCGCTCCAAATGTCCACTTCCAGATACTACAAAAAGAGTGTTTCAAACCTACTCTGTGAAAGGGAATATTCAACTCTGTGACTTGAATGCAGATATCACAAAGAAGTTTCTGAGAATGCTTCTGTCGAGATTTTATATGAAGATATTCCCGTTTCCAAGGAAATCCTGAAATCTATCCAAATATCCCCTCACAGATTCTACAAAAAGAGTGTTTCAAAACTGCTCTGTAAAAAGAAAGGTTCAACTCTGTTAGTTGAGTACACACATCACAAACAAGTTTCACAGAATGCTTCTTTCTAGCTTGTAGGGGAAGATATTCCCTTTATCACCATGGGCCTCAAACCGTCCGAAACGTCCACTTCCATATACTACAAAAAGAGCGTTTCAAACCTGCTCTATGAAAGGCAATGTTCAACTCTGTGACTTGAATGTAGACATCACAGAGCAGTTTCTGAGAATGCTTCTGTCTAGATTTTATAGGAAGATATTCCCGTTTCCAACGAAATCTTCACAGCTATCCAAATATCCACTTGCAGATTCTACAAAAAGAGTGTATCAAAAATGCTCTGTCAAAAGGAAGGTTCTTCTCTGTTAGGTGAGTGCATACGTCATAAAGGAGTTTCTCAGAATGTTTCTGTCTAGTGGTTATGGGAAGATATTTGCTTTTTCACCGTAGGCCTCAGCAGCGCTCCAAATATCCACTTGCACATACTACAAAAAGTGTGCCTCAAAGCTGCTCTCTGAAACGGAATGTTCAACTCTATGAGTTGAATGCAAACATCACAAAGACGTTTCTGAAAATGCTTCTGTCTAGATTTGATATGAAGATATTCCTTTTTCCAAGGGAAATCTTCAAAACTATCCAAATGTCCACTTGCAGATTCAACAAAAAGTGTTTTTCAGAACTGCTCTATCAAAAGAAAGATCCACCGCTGTTTGCTGAGTTCACACATCACAAACAAGTTTATGAGAATGCTTCTGTCTAGTTTTTATTTGAAGATATTTCCTTTCTCACCATAGAGCTGAAAGCTGTCCTAATGTTCACTACCAGATACTCACAGAAAGAGTGTTTCAAAACTGCTGTACGAAAGGGAATGTTCAACTCTGTGACTTGAATGCACACATCACAAAGAAGTTTCTGAGGATGCTGCTGTCTACTTTTTATACGTAATCCCGTTTCCAACGAAATCCTCCAAGCTATCCAAATATCCACTTGCAGATTCCACAGAAAGACTGTTTCAAACCTGCTCTGTCAATAGAAAGGTTCAACTCTGTTAGCTGCGTGCATATATCCCAAAGAAGATTCTGAGATTGCTTCTGTCTAGTTTTTATCGGAAGATATTTCCCTTTTCACCGTAGGCGTCAAGGCACTCCAAATGTCCAATTGCAGATACTATAAAAAGAGTGTTTCAAACCTACTCTGTGAAAGGGAATATTCAACTCTGTGACTGGAATGCAGATATCACAAAGAAGTTTCTGAGAATGCTTCTGTCGAGATTTTGTATGAAGATATTCCCGTTTCCAAAGAAATCCTGAAATCTATCCAAATTTCCCCTCGCAGATTCTACAAAAAGAGTGTTTCAAAACTGCTCTGTAAAAAGAAAGGTTCAACTCTGTTAGTTGAGTACACACATCACAAACAAGTTTCACAGAATGCTTCTTTCTAGCTTGTAGGGGAAGATATTCCCTTTATCACCATGGGCCTCAAACCGTCCGAAACGTCTACTTCCATATACTACAAAAAGAGCGTTTCAAACCTGCTCTATGAAAGGCAATGTTCAACTCTGTGACTTCAATGCAGACATCACAGAGCAGTTTCTGAGAATGCTTCTGTCTAGATTTTATAGGAAGATATTCCCGTTTCCAACGAAATCTTCACAGATATCCAAATATCCACTTGCAGATGCTACAAAAAGAGTGTATCAAAAATGCTCTGTCAAAAGGAAGGTTCTTCTGTGTTAGGTGAGTGCATACGTCATAAAGGAGTTTCTGAGAATGTTCCTGTCTAGTGGTTATGGGAAGATATTTGCTTTTTCCCCGTAGGCCTCAAAGCGCTCCAAATGTCCACTTGCACATACTAAAAAAAGTGTGCTTCAAAGCTCCTCTCTGAAAGAGAATGTTCAACTCTATGAGTTGAATGCAAACATCACAAAGACGTTTCTGAGAATGCTTCTCTCTAGATTTGATATGAAGATATTCCCGTTTCCAAAGAAATCTTCAAATCTATCCAAATGTCCACTTGCAGATTCAACAAAAAGTGTTTTTCAGAACTGCTCTATCAAAAGAAAGATCCACGTCTCTTAGCTGAGTTCACACATCACAAACAAGTTTATGAGAATGCTTCTGTCTAGTTTTTATTTGAAGATATTTCCTTTCTCACCATAGAGCTTAAAGCTGTCCTAATGTTCACTTCCAGATACTACAGAAAGAGTGTTTCAAAACTGCTGTACGAAAGGGAATGTTCAACTCTGTGACTTGAATGCACACATCACAAAGAAGTTTCTGAGGATGCTGCTGTCTACTTTTTATACGTAATCCCGTTTCCAACGAAATCCTCCAAGCTATCCAAATATCCACTTGCAGATTCCACAGAACGACTGTTTCAAAACTGCTCTGTCAATAGAAATGTTCAACTCCGTTAGCTGCGTGCATATATCCCAAAGAATTTTCTGAGATTGCTTCTGTCTAGTTTTTATGGGAAGATATTTCCCTTTTCACCGTGGGCGTCAAGGCGCTCCAAATGTCCACTTCCAGATACTACAAAAAGAGTGTTTCAAACCTACTCTGTGAAAGGGAATATTCCACTCTGTGACTTGAATGCACATATCACAAGGAAGTTTCTGAGAATGCTTCTGTCGATATTTTATATGAAGATATTCCCATTTCCAACGAAATCCTGAAATGTATCCAAATATCCCCTCGCAGATTCTACAAAAAGAGTGTATCAAAACTGCTCTGTAAAAAGAAAGGTTCAACTCTGTTAGTTGAGTACACACATCACAAACAAGTTTCACAGAATGCTTCTTTCTAGCTTGTAGGGGAAGATTCCCCTTTATCACCATGGTCCTCAAACCGTCCGAAATGTCCACTTCCATATACTACAAAAAGAGCGTTTCAAACCTGCTGTATGAAAGGCAATGTTCAACTCTGTGACTTGAATGCAGACATCACAGAGCAGTTTCTGAGAATGCTTCTGTCTAGATTTTATAGGAAGATATTCCCGTTTCCAACGAAATCTTCACAGCTATCCAAATAACCACTTGCAGATTCTACAAAAAGAGTGTATCAAACCTGCTCTGTCAAAAGGAAGGTTCTTTTCTGTTAGGTGAGTGCATACGTCATAAAGGAGTTTCTGAGAATGTTTCTGTCTAGTGGTTATGGGAAGATATTTGCTTTTTCCCCGTAGGCCTCAGGGCGCTCCAAATGTCCACTTGCAAATGCTACAAAAAGAGTGCTTCAAAGCTGCTCTCTGAAAGGGAATGTTCAACTCTATGAGTTGAATGCAAACATCACAAAGACGTTTCTGAGAATGCTTTCTGTCTAGATTTGATATGAAGATATTCCCGTTTCCAACGAAATCTTCAAATCTATCCAAATGTCCTCTTGCAGATTCAACAAAAAGTGTTTTTCAGAACTGCTCTATCAAAAGAAAGATCCACGTGTGTTAGCTGAGTTCACACATCACGAACAAGTTTATGAGAATGCTTCTGTCTAGTTTTTATTTGAAGATATTTCCTTTCTCACCATAGACCTGAAAGCTGTCCTAATGTTCACTTCCACATACTACAGAAAGAGTGTTTCAAAACTGCTGTACGAAAGGGAATGTTCAACTCTGTGACATGAATGCACACATCACAAAGAAGTTTCTGAGGATGCTGCTGTCTACTTCTTATACGTAATCCCGTTTCCACCGAAATCCTCCAAGCTATCCAAATATCCACTTGCAGATTCCACAGAAAGACTGTTTCAAAACTGCTATGTCAATAGAAAGGTTCAACTCTGTTAGCTGTGTGCATATATCCCAAAGAAAATTCTGAGATTGCTTCTGTCTAGTTTTTATGGGAAGATATTTCACTTTTCACAGTAGGTGTCAAGGCGCTCCAAATGTCCACTTCCAGATACTACAAAAGGAGTGTTTCAAACCTACTCTGTGAAAGGGAATACTCAACTCTGTGACTTGAATGCACATATCACAAAGATGTTTCTGAGAATGCTTCTGTCGAGATTTTATATGAAGATATTCCCGTTTCCAACGAAATCCTGAAATCTATCCAAATATCCCCTCGCAGATTCTACAAAAAGAGTGTTTCAAAACTGCTCTGTAAAAAGAAAGGTTCAGCTCTGTTAGTTGAGTACACACATCACAAACAAGTTTCACACAATGCTTCTTTCTAGCTTGTAGGGGAAGATATTTCCTTTATCACCATGGTCCTCAAACCGTCCGAAACGTCCACTTCCATATACTAAAAAAAGAGTGTTTCAAACCTGCTCTATGAAAGGCAATGTTCAACTCTGTGACTTGAATGCAGATATCACAGAGCAGTTTCTGAGAATGCTTCTGTCTAGATTTTATAGGAAGATATTCCCGTTTCCAACGAAATCTTCACAGCTATCCAAATATCCACTTGCAGATTCTACAAAAAGCGTGTATCAAAACTGCTCTGTCAAAAGGAAGGTTCTTCTCTGTTAGGTGAGTGCATACGTCATAAAGGAGTTTCTGAGAATGTTTCTGTCTAGTGGTTATGGGAAGATATTTGCTTTTTCACCGTAGGCCTCAGAGCGCACCAAATATCCACTTGCACATACTACAAAAAGAGTGCTTCAAAGCTGGTCTCTGAAACGGAATGTTCAACTCTATGAGTTGAATGCAAACATCACAAAGACGTTTCTGAGAATGCTTCTGTCTAGATTTGATATGAAGATATTCCCGTTTCCAACGAAATCTTCAAAACTATCCAAATGTCCACTTGCAGATTCAACAAAAAGTGTTTTTCAGAACTGCTCTATCAAAAGATAGATCCACCTCTGTTAGCTGAGTTCACACATCACAAACAAGTTTATGAGAATGCTTCTGTCTAGTTTTTATTTGAAGATATTTCCTTTCTCACCATACAGCTGAAAGCTGTCCTAATGTTCACTTCCAGATACTACAGAAAGAGTGTTTCAAAACTGCTGTACGAAAGGGAATGTTCAACTCTGTGACTTGAATGCACACATCACAAAGAAGTTTCTGAGGATGCTTCTGTCCAGCCTTTATAGGAAGATATTCCTGTTTCCAACGAAATCTTCACAGCTATCCAAATATCCACTTGCAGATTCCACAGAAAGACTGTTTCTAAACTGCTCTTTCAATAGAAAGGTTCAACTGTGTTAGCTGCGTGCATATATCCCAAAGAAGATTCTGAGATTGCTTCTGTCTAGTTTTTATGGGAAGATATTTCCCTTTTCACCGTAGGTGTCAAGGAGCTCCAAATGTCCACTTCCAGATACTACAAAAAGAGTGTTTCAAACCTACTCTGTGGAAGGGAATATTCAACTCTGTGACTTGAATGCAGATATCACAAAGAAGTTTCTGAGAATGCTTCTGTCGAGATTTTATATGAAGATATTCCCGTTTCCAACGAAATCCTGAAATGTATCCAAATATCCCCTCTCAGATTCTACAAAAAGAGTGTTTCAAAACTGCTCTGTAAAAAGAAAGGTTCAACTCTGTTAGTTGAGTACACACATCACAAACAAGTTTCACAGAATGCTTCTTTCTAGCTTGTAGGGGAAGATATTTCCTTTATCACCATCATCCTCAAACCATCCGAATCGTCCACTGCCATATACTAAAAAAAGAGTGTTTGAAACCTGCTCTATGAAAGGCAATGTTCAACTCTGTGACTTGAATGCAGACATCACAGAGCAGTTTCTGAGAATGCTTCTGTCCAGACTTTATAGGAAGATATTCCCGTTTCCAACGAAATCTTCACAGCTATCCAAATATCCACTTGCAGATACTACAAAAAGTGTGTATCCAAAGTGCTCTGTCAAAAGGAAAGTTCTTCTCTGCTAGTTGAGTACATACCTCATAAAGAAGTTTCTGAGAATGTTTCTGTCTAGTGTTTATGGGAAGATATTTGCTTTTTCACCAGAGTTCTCAAAGCGCTCCAAATGTCCACTTCCACATACAACAAAAAGAGTGTTTCAAAACTGCTCTATGAAAGGGAGTGTTCAACACTAAGAGTTGAATGCAAACATCACAAACCAGTTTCTGAGAATGCTTCTGTCTAGATTTGATATGAAGATATTCCCGTTTCCAACGACATCTTCAAATCTATCCAAATGTCCACTTGCAGATTCAACAAAAAGTGTTTTTCAGAACTGCTCTATCAAAAGAAAGATCCACCTCTGTTAGCTGAGTTCACACATCACAAACAAGTTTATGAGAATGCTTCTGTCTAGTTTTTATTGGAAGATATTTCCTTTCTCACCATAGACCTGAAAGCTGTCCTAATGTTCACTTCCAGTTACTACAGAAAGAGTGTTTCAAAACTGCTGTACGAAAGGGAATGTTCAACTCTGTGACTTGAATGCACACATTACAAAGAAGTTTCTGAGGATGCTGCTGTTCTACTTTTTATACGTAATCCCGTTTCCAACGAAATCCTCCAAGCTATCCAAATATCCACTTGCAGATTCCACAGAAAGACTGTTTCAAAACTGCTCTGTCAATAGAAAGGTTCAACTCTGTTAGCTGCGTGCATATATCCCAAAGAAGATTCTGAGATTGCTTCTGTCTAGTTTTGATGGGAAGATATTTCCCTTTTCACCGTGGGCATCAAGGCGCTCCAAATGTCCACTTCCAGATACTACAAAAAGAGTGTTTCAAACCTACTCTGTGAAAGGGAATATTCAACTCTGTGACTTGAATGCACATATCACAAGGAAGTTTCTGAGAATGCTTCTGTCGAGATTTTATATGAAGATATTCCCGTTTCCAACGAAATCCTGAAATCTATCCAAATATCCCCTCGCAGATTCTACAAAAAGAGTGTTTCAAAACTGCTGTGTAAAAAGAAAGGTTCAACTCTGTTAGTTGAGTACACACATCACAAACAAGTTTCACAGAATGCTTCTTTCTAGCTTGTAGGGGAAGATATTCCCTTTATCACCATGGGCCTCAAACCGTCCGAAACGTCCACTTCCATATACTACAAAAAGAGCGTTTCAAACCTGCTCTATGAAAGGCAATGTTCAACTCTGTGACTTGAATGCAGACATCACAGAGCAGTTTCTGAGAATGATTCTGTCTAGATTTTATAGGAAGATATTCCCGTTTCCAACAAAATCTTCACAGCTATCCAAATATCCACTTGCAGATTCTACAAAAAGAGTGTATCAAAACTGCTCTGTCAAAAGGAAGGTTCTTCTCTGTTAGGTGAGTGCATACGTCATAAAGGAGTTTCTGAGAAAGTTTCTGTCTAGTGGTTATGGGAAGATATTTGCTTTTTCACCGAAGGCCTCAGAGAGCTCCAAATATCCACTTGCACATACTGCAAAATGAGTGCCTCAAAGCTGCTCTCTGAAACGGAATGTTCAACTCTATGAGTTGAATGCAAACATCACAAAGACGTTTCCGAGAATGCTTCTGTCTAGATTTGATATGAAGATATTCCCGTTTCCAACGAAATCTTCAAATCTATCCAAATGTCCACTTGCAGATTCAACAAAAAGTGTTTTTCAAAACTGCTGTATCAAAAGAAAGATCCACCTCTGTTAGCTGAGTTCACACATCACAAACAAGTTTATGAGAATGCTTCTGTCTAGTTTTTATTTGAAGATATTTCCTTTCTCACCATAGACCTGAAAGCTGTCCTAATGTTCACTTCCAGATACTACAGAAAGAGTGTTTCAAAATTGCTGTACGAAAGGGAATGTTCAACTCTGTGACTTGAATGCACACATCACAAAGAAGTTTCTGAGGATGCTGCTGTCTACTTTTTATACGTAATCCCGTTTCCAACGAAATCCTCCAAGCTATCCAAATATCCACTTGCAGATTCCACAGAAAGACTGTTTCAAAACTGCTCTGTCAATAGAAAGGTTCAACTCTGTTAGCTGCGTGCATATATCCCAAAGAAGTTTCTGAGATTACTTCTGTCTAGTTTTTATGGGAAGATATTTCCCTTTTCACCGTAGGCGTCAAGGCGCTCCAAATGTCCACTTCCAGATACTACAAAAAGAATGTTTCAAACCTACTCTGTGAAAGGGAATATTCAACTCTGTGACTTGAATGCACATATCACAAAGAAGTTTCTGAGAATGCTTCTGTCGAGATTTTATATGAAGATATTCCCGTTTCCAACGAAATCCTGAAATCTATCCAAATATCCCCTCGCAGATTCTAGAAAAAGAGGGTTTCAAAACTGCTCTGTAAAAAGAAAGGTTCAACTCTGTTAGTTGAGTACACACATCACAAACAAGTTTCACAGAATGCTTCTTTCTAGCTTGTAGGGGAAGATATTCCCTTTATCACCACGGGCCTCAAACCGTCCGAAACGTCCACTTCCATATACTACAAAAAGAGCGTTTCAAACCTGCTCTATGAAAGGCAATGTTCAACTCTGTGACTTGAATGCAGACATCACAGAGCAGTTTCTGAGAATGCTTCTGTCTAGATTTTATAGGAAGATATTCCCGTTTCCAGCGAAATCTTCACAGGTATCCAAATATCCACTTGCAGATTCTACAAAAAGAGTGTATCAAAACTGCTCTGTCAAAAGGAAGGTTCTTCTCTGTTAGGTGAGTGCATACGTCATAAAGGAGTTTCTGAGAATGTTTCTGTCTAGTGGTTATGGGAAGATATTTGCTTTTTCACCTTAGGCCTCAGGAGCGCTCCAAATATCCCCTTGCACATACTACAAAAAGAGTGCTTCAAAGCTGCTCTCTGAAAGGGAATGTTCAACTCTATGAGTTGAATGCAAACATCACAAAGACGTTTCTGAGAATGCCTCTGTCTAGATTTGATATGAAGATATTCCCGTTTCCAACGAAATCTTCAAATCTATCCAAATGTCCACTTGCAGATTCAACAAAAAGTGTTTTTCAGAACTGCTCTATCAAAAGAAAGATGCACCTCTGTTAGCTGAGTTCAGACATCACAAACAAGTTTATGAGAATGCTTCTGTCTAGTTTTTATTTGAAGATATTTCCTTTCTCACCATAGACCTGAAAGCTGTCCTAATGTTCACTTCCAGATACTACAGAAAGAGTGTTTCAAAACTGCTGTACGAAAGGGAATATTCAACTCTGTGACTTGAATGCACACATCACAAAGAAGCTTCTGAGGATGCTGCTGTCTACTTTTTATACGTAATCCCGTTTCCAACGAAATCCTCCAAGCTATCCAAATATCCACTTGCAGATTCCACAGAAAGACTGTTTCAAAACTGCTATGTCAATAGAAAAGTTCAACTCTGTTAGCTGTGTGCATATATCCCAAAGAAAATTCTGAGATTGCTTCTGTCTAGTTTTTATGGGAAGATATTTCCCTTTTAACCATAGGCGTCAAGGCGCTCCAAATGTCCACTTCCAGATACTACAAAAAGAGTGTTTCAAACCTACTCTGTGAAAGGGAATATTCACCTCTGTGACTTGAATGCAGATATCACAAAGAAGTTTCTGAGAATGCTTCTGTCGAGATTTTATATGAAGATATTCCCGTTTCCAACAAAATCCTGAAATCTATCCAAATATCCCCTCGCAGATTCTACAAAAAGAGTGTTTCAAAACTGCTCTGTAAAAAGAAAGGTTCAACTCTGTTAATTGAGTACACACATCACAAACAAGTTTCACAGAATGCTTCTTTCTAGCTTGTAGGGGAAGATATTCCCTTTATCACCATGGGCCTCAAACCGTCCGAAACGTTTACTTCCATATACTACAAAAAGAGCGTTTCAAACCTGCTCTATGAAAGGCAATGTTCAACTCTGTGACTTGAATGCAGACATCACAGAGCAGTTTCTGAGAATGCTTCTGTCTAGATTTTATAGGAAGATATTTCCGTTTCCAACGAAACCTTCACATCTATCCAAATATCCACTTGCAGATTCTACAAAAAGAGTGTATCAAAACTGCTCTGTCAAAAGGAAGGTTCTTCTCTGTTAGGTGAGTGCATACGTCATAAAGGAGTTTCTGAGAATGTTTCTGTCTAGTGGTTATGGGAAGATATTTGCTTTTTCCCCTTAGGCCTCAAAGCGCTCCAAATGTCAACTTGCACATACTACAAAAAGAGTGCTTCAAAGCTGCTCTCTGAAAGGGAATGTTCAACTCTATGAGTTGAATGCAAACATCACAAAGACGTTTCTGAGAATGCTTCTGTCTTGATTTGATATGAAGATATTCCCGTTTCCAACGAAATCTTCAAATCTATCCAAATGTCCACTTGCAGATTCAACAAAAAGTGTTTTTCAGAACTGCTCTATCAAAAGAAAGATCCACCTCTGTTAGCTGAGTTCACACATCACAAACAAGTTTATGAGAATGCTTCTGTCTAGTTTTTATTTGAAGATATATCCTTTCTCACTATAGACCTGAAAGCTCTCCTAAAGTTCACTTCCAGATACTACAGAAAGAGTGTTTCAAAACTGCTGTACGAAAGGTAATGTTCAACTCTGTGACTTGAATGCACACATCACAAGGATGTTTCTGAGGATGCTGCTGTCTAATTTTTATACGTAATCCCGTTTCCAACGAAATCCTCCAAGCTATCCAAATATCCACTTGCAGATTCCACAGAAAGACTGTTTCAAAACTGCTCTGTCAATAGAAAGGTTCAACTCTGTTAGCTGCGTGCATATATCCGAAAGAAGATTCTGAGATTGCTTCTGTCTACTTTTTATGAGAAGATATTTTCCTTTTCACCGTAGGCATCAAGGCGCTCCAAATGTCCACTTCCAGATACTACAAAAAGAGTGTTTCAAACCTACTCTGTGAAAGGGAATATTCAACTCTGTGACTTGAATGCACATATCACAAAGAAGTTTCTGAGAATGCTTCTGTCGAGATTTTATATGAAGTTATTCCCGTTTCCAACGAAATCCTGAAATCTATCCAAATATCCCCTCGCAGATTCTACAAAAAGAGTGTTTCAAAACTGCTCTGTAAAAGGAAAGGTTCAACTCTGTTAGTTGAGTACACACATCACAAACAAGTTTCACAGAATGCTTCTTTCTAGCTTGTAGGGGAAGATATTCCCTTTATCACCATGGGCCTGAAACCGTCCGAAACGTCTACTTCCATATACTACAAAAAGAGCGTTTCAAACCTGCTCTATGAAAGGCAATGTTCAACTCTGTGACTTGAATGCAGACATCACAGAGCAGTTTCTGAGAATGCTTTCTGTCTAGATTTTATAGGAAGATATTCCCGATTCCAACGAAATCTTCGCAGCTATCCAAATATCCACTTGCAGATTCTACAAAAAGCGTGTATCAAAACTGTTCTGTCAAAAGGAAGGTTCTTCTCTGTTAGGTGAGTGCATACGTCATAAAGCAGTTTCTGAGAATGTTTCTGTCTAGTGGTTATGGGAAGATATTTGCTTTTTCCCCGTAGGCCTCAGGGCGCTCCAAATGTCCACTTGCACATGCTACAAAAAGAGTGCTTCAAAGCTGCTCTCTGAAAGGGAATGTTCAACTCTATGAGTTGAAGGCAAACATCACAAAGACGTTTCTGAGAATGTTTCTGTCTAGATTTGATATGAAGATATTCCCGTTTCCAACGAAATCTTCAAATCTATCCAAATGTCCACTTGCAGATTCAACAAAAAGTGTTTTTCCGAACTGCTCTATCAAAAGAAAGATCCACCTCTGTTAGCTGAGTTCACACATCACAAACAAGTTTATGAGAATGCTCCTGTCTAGTTTTTATTTGAAGATATTTCCTTTCTCACCATAGACCTGAAAGCTGTCCTAATGTTCACTTCCAGATACTACAGAAAGAGTGTTTCAAAACTGCTGCACGAAAGGGAATGTTCAACTCTGTGACTTGAATGCACACATCACAAAGAAGTTTCTGAGGATGCTGCTGTCTACTTTTTATACGTAATCCCGTTTCCAACGAAATCCTCCAAGCTATCCAAATATCCACTTGCAGATTCCACAGAAAGACTGTTTCAAAACTGCTCTGTCAATAGAAAGGTTAAACTCTGTTAGCTGCGTGCATATATCCCAAAGAAGATTCTGAGATTGCTTCTGTCTAGTTTTTATGGGAAGATATTTCCCTTTTCACCGTAGGCGTCAAGGCGCTCCAAATGTCCAATTCCAGATACTATAAAAAGAGTGTTTCAAACCTACTCTGTGAAAGGGAATATTCAACTCTGTGACTTGAATGCAGATATCACAAAGAAGTTTCTGAGAATGCTTCTGTTGAGATTTTATATGAAGATATTCCCGTTTCCAACGAAATCCTGAAATCTATCCAAATATCCCCTCGCAGATTCTACAAAAAGAGTGTTTCAAAACTGCTCTGTAAAAAGAAAGGTTCAACTCTGTTACTTGAGTACACACATCACAAACAAGTTTCACAGAATGCTTCTTTCTAGCTTGTAGGGGAAGATATTCCCTTTATCACCATGGGCCTCAAACCGTCCGAAACGTCCACTTCCATATACTACAAAAAGAGCGTTTCAAACCTGCTCTATGAAAGGCAATGTTCAGCTCTGTGACTTGAATGCAGACATCACAGAGCAGTTTCTGAGAATGCTTCTGTCTAGTTTTTATAGGAAGATATTCCCGTTTCCAACGAAATCTTCACAGCTATCCAAATATCCACTTGCAGATTCTACAAAAAGAGTGTATCAAAACTGCTCTGTCAAAAGGAAGGTTCTTCTCTGTTAGGTGAGTGCATACGTCATAAAGGAGTTTCTGAGAATGTTTCTGTCTAGTGGTTATGGGAAGATATTTGCTTTTTCACCGTAGGCCTCAGAGCGCTCCAAATATCCACTTGAACATACTACAAAAAGAGTGCTTCAAAGCTGCTCTCTGAAACGGAATGTTCAACTCTATGAGTTGAATGCAACCATCACAAAGACGTTTCTGAGAATGCTTCTGTCTAGATTTGATATGAAGATATTCCCGTTTCCAACGAAATCTTCAAATCTATCCAAATGTCCACTTGCAGATTCAACAAAGTGTTTTTCAAAACTGCTCTATCAAAAGAAAGATCCACCACTGTTAGCTGAGTTCACACTTCACAAACAAGTTTATCAGTATTCTTCTGTCTAGTTTTTATTTGAAGATATATCCTTTCTCACTATAGACCTGAAAGCTTTCCTAAAGTTCACTTCCAGATACTACAGAAAGAGTGTTTCAAAACTGCTGTACGAAAGGGAATGTTCAACTCTGTGACTTGAATGCACACATCACAAGGATGTTTCTGAGGATGCTGCTGTCTACTTTTTATACGTAATCCCGTTTCCAACGAAATCCTCCAAGCTATCCAAATATCCACTTGCAGATTCCACAGAAAGACTGTTTCAAAACTGCTCTGTCAATAGAAAGGTTCAACTCTGTTAGCTGCGTGCATATATGCCAAAGAAGATTCTGAGATTGCTTCTGTCTAGTTTTTATGGGAAGATATTTCCCTTTTCACCGTAGGCGTCGAGGCGCTCCAAATGTCCACTTCCAGATACTACAAAAAGAGTGTTTCAAACCTACTCTGTGAAAGGGAATATTCAACTCTGTGACTTGAATGCACATATCACAAAGTAGTTTCTGAGAATGCTTCTGTCGAGATTTTATATGAAGATATTCCCGTTTCCAACGAAATCCTGAAATCTATCCAAATATCCCCTCGCAGATTCTACAAAAAGAGTGTTTCAAAACTGCTCTGTAAAAAGAAAGGTTCAACTCTGTTAGTTGAGTACACACATCACAAACAAGTTTCACAGAATCCTTCTTTCTGGCTTGTAGGGGAAGATATTCCCTTTATCACCATGGGCCTCAAACCGTCCGAAACGTCCACTTCCATATACTACAAAAAGAGCATTTCAAACCTGCTCTAGGAAAGGCAATGTTCAACTCTGTGACTTGAATGCAGACATCGCAGAGCAGTTTCTGAGTATGCTTCTGTCCAGACTTTATAGGAAGATATTCCCGTTTCCAACGAAATCTTCACAGCTATCCAAATATCCACTTGCAGATAGTACAAAAAGAGTGTATCGAAAATGCTCTGTCAAAAGGAAAGTTCTTCTCTGCTAGTTGAGTACATACGTCATAAAGAAGTTTCGGAGAATGTTTCCTGTTTAGTGGTTATGGGAAGATATTTGCTTTTTCACCTTAGGCCTCAGAGCGCTCCAAATATCCCCTTGCACATACTACAAAAAGAGTGCTTCAAAGCTGCTCTCTGAAACGGAATGTTCAACTCTATGAGTTGAATGCAAACATGACAAAGACGTTTCCGAGAATGCTTTCTGTCTAGATTTGATATGAAGATATTCCCGTTTCCAACGAAATCTTCAAATCTATCCAAATGTCCACTTGCAGATTCAACAAAAGTGTTTTTCAGAACTGCTCTATCAAAAGAAAGATCCACGTGTGTTAGCTGAGTTCACACATCACAAACAAGTTTATGAGAATGCTTCTGTCTAGTTTTTATTTGAAGATATTTCCTTTCTCACCATAAACCTGAAAGCTGTCCTAATGTTCACTTCCAGATACTACAGAAAGAGTGTTTCAAAACTGCTGTACGGAAGGGAATGTTCAACACTGTGACTTGAATGCACACATCACAAAGAAGTTACCTGAGGATGCTGCTGTCTACTTTTTATATGTAATCCCGTTTCCAACGAAATCCTCCAAGCTATCCAAATATCCACTTGCAGATTCCACAGAAAGACTGTTTCAAAAGTGCTCTGTCAATAGAAAGGTACAACTCTGTTAGCTGCGTGCATATATCCCAAAGAAGATTCTGAGATTGCTTCTGTCTAGTTTTTAATGGGAAGATATTTCCCTTTTCACCGTAGGTGTCAAGGCGCTCCAAATGTCCACTTCCAGATACTACAAAAAGAGTGTTTCCAACCTACTCTGTGAAAGGGAATATTCAACTCTGTGACTTGAATGCACATATCACAAAGAAGTTTCTGAGAATGCTTCTGTCGAGATTTTATATGAAGATATTCCCGTTTCCAACGAAATCCTGAAATCTATCCAAATATCCCCTCGCAGATTCTACAAAAAGAGTGTTTCAAAACTGCTCTGTAAAAAGAAAGGTTCAACTCTGTTACTTGACTACACACATCACAAACAAGTTTCACAGAATGCTTCTTTCTAGCTTGTAGGGAAGATATTCCCTTTATCACCATGGGCCTCCAACCGTCCGAAACATCCACTTCCATATACTACAAAAAGAGCGTTTCAAACCTGCTCTATGAAAGGCAATGTTCAACTCTGTGACTTGAATGCAGACATCACAGAGCAGTTTCTGAGAATGCTTCTGTCCAGACTTTATAGGAAGATATTCCCGTTTCCAACGAAATCTTCACAGCTATCCAAATATCCACTTGCAGATAGTACAAAAAGAGTGTATCAGAAATGCTCTGTCAAAAGGAAAGTTCTTCTCTGCTAGTTGAGTACATACGTCATAAAGAACTTTCTGAGAATGTTTCTGTCTAGTGGTTATGGGAAGATATTTGCTTTTTCCCCGTAGGCCTCAGGGCGCTCCAAATGTCCACTTGCACATGCTACAAAAAGAGTGCTTCAAAGCTGCTCTCTGAAACGGAATGTTCAACTCTATGAGTTGAATGCAAACATCGCAAAGACGTTTCTGAGAATGCTTCTGTCTAGATTTGATATGAAGATATTCCCGTTTCCAACGAAATCTTCAAATCTATCCAAATGTCCACTTGCAGATTCAACAAAAAGTGTTTTTCAGAAGTGCTCTATCAAAAGAAAGATCCACCTCTGTTAGCTGAGTTCACACATCACAAACAAGTTTATGAAAATGTTTCTGTCTAGTTTTTATTTGAAGATATATCCTTTCTCACTATAGACCTGAAAGCTGTCCTAAAGTTCACTTCCAGATACAAAGAAAGAGTGTTTCAAAACTGCTGTACGAAAGGGAATGTTCAACTCTGTGACTTGAATGCACACATCACAAGGATGTTTCTGAGGATGCTGCTGTCTACTTTTTATACGTAATCCCGTTTCCAACGAAATCCTCCAAGCTATCCAAATATCCACTTGCAGATTCCACAGAAAGACTGTTTCAAAACTGCTCTGTCAATAGAAAGGTTCAAATCTGTTAGCTGCGTGCATATATCCCAAAGAAGATTCTGAGATTCCTTTCTGTCTAGTTTTTATTGGAAGATATTTCCCTTTTCACCGTAGGTGTCAAGGCGCTCCAAATGTCCACTTCCAGATACTACAAAAAGAGTGTTTCAAACCTACTCTGTGAAAGGGAATATTCAACTCTGTGACCTGAATGCACATATCACAAGGAAGTTTCTGAGAATGCTTCTGTCGAGATTTTATATGAAGATATTCCCGTTTCCAACGAAATGCTGAAATGTATCCAAATATCCCCTCGCAGATTCTACAAAAAGAGTGTTTCAAAACTGCTCTGTAAAAAGAAAGGTTCAACTCTGTTAGTTGAGTACACACATCACAAACAAGTTTCACAGTAATGCTTCTTTCTAGCTTGTAGGGGAAGATATTCCCTTTATCACCATGGGCCTGAAACCGTCCGAAACGTCTACTTCCATATACTACAAAAAGAGCGTTTCAAATCTGCTCCATGAAAGGCAATGTTCAACTCTGTGACTTGAATGCAGACATCACAGAGCAGTTTCTGAGAATGCTTCTGTCTAGATTTTATAGGAAGATATTCCCGTTTCCAACGAAATCTTCACAGCTATCCAAATATCCACTTGCAGATTCTACAAAAAGAGTGTATCAAAACTGCTCTGTCAAAAGGAAGGTTCTTTTCTGTTAGGTGAGTGCATACGTCATAAAGGAGTTTTTGAGAATGTTTCTGTCTAGTGGTTATGGGCAAGATATTTGCTTTTTCACCGTAGGCCTCAGAGCGCTCCAAATATCCACTTGCACATACTACAAAAAGAGTGCTTCAAAGCTGCTCTCTGAAACGGAATGTTCAACTCTATGAGTTGAATGCAAACATCACAAAGACGTTTCTGAGAATGCTTCTGTCTAGATTTGATATGAAGATATTCCCGTTTCCAACGACATCTTCAAATCTATCCAAATGTCCACTTGCAGATTCAACAAAACGTGTTTTTCAGAACTGCTCTATCAAAAGAAAGATCCACCTCTGTTAGCTGAGTTCACACATCACAAACAAGTTTATGAGAATGCTTCTGTCTAGTTTTTATTTGAAGATATTTCCTTTCTCACCATAGACCTGAAAACTGTCCTAATGTTCACTTGCAGATACTACAGAAAGAGTGTTTCAAAACTGCTGTACGAAAGGGAATGTTCAACTCTGTGACTTGAATGCACACATCACAAAGAAGTTTCTGAGGATGCTGCTGTCTACTTTTTATACGTAATCCCGTTTCCAACGAAATCCTCCAAGCTATCCAAATATCCACTTGCAGATTCCACAGAAAGACTGTTTCAAAACTGCTCTGTCAATAGAAAGGTTCAACTCTGTTAGCTGCGTGCATATATCCCAAAGAAGATTGCTGAGATTGCTTCTGTCTAGTTTTTATGGGAAGATATTTCCCTTTTCACCGTAGGCGTCAAGGCGCTCAAAATGTCCACTTCCAGATACTACAAAAAGAGTGTTTCAAACCTACTCTATGAAAGGGAATATTCAACTCTGTGACTTGAATGCACATATCACAAAGAAGTTTCTGAGAATGCTTCTGTCGAGATTTTATGTGAAGATATTCCCGTTTCCAACGAAATCCTGAAATCTATCCAAATATCCCCTCGCAGATTCTACAAAAAGAGTGTTTCAAAACTGCTCTGTAAAAAGAAAGGTTCAACTCTGTTAGTTGAGTACACACATCACAAACAAGTTTCACAGAATGCTTCTTTCTAGCTTGTAGGGGAAGATATTCCCTTTATCACCATGGGCCTCAAACCGTCCGAAACGTCCATTTCCATATACTACAAAAAGAGCGTTTCAAACCTGCTCCATGAAAGGCAATGTTCAACTCTGTGACTTGAATGCAGACATCACAGAGCAGTTTCTGAGAATGCTTCTGTCTAGATTTTATAGGAAGATATTACCGTTTCCAACGAAATCTTCACAGCTATCCCAATATCCACTTGCAGATTCTACAAAAAGAGTGTATCAAAACTGCTCTGTCAAAAGGAAGGTTCTTCTCTGTTAGTTGAGTACATACGTCATAAAGGAGTTTCTGAGAATGTTTCTGTCTAGTGGTTATGGGAAGATATTTGCTTTTTCACCGTAGACCTCAGAGCGCTCCAAATATCCACTTGCACATACTACAAAAAGAGTGCTTCAAAGCTGCTCTCTGAAACGGAATGTTCAACTCTATGAGTTGAATGCAAACATCACAAAGACGTTTCTGAGAATGCTTCTGTCTAGATTTGATGTGAAGATATTCCCGTTTCCAACGAAATCTTCAAATCTATCCAAATGTCCACTTGCAGATTCAACAAAAAGTGTTTTTCCGAACTGCTCTATCAACAGAAAGATCCGCCTCTGTTAGCTGAGTTCACACATCACAAACAAGTTTATGAGAATGCTTCTGTCTAGTTTTTATTTGAAGATATTTCCTTTCTCACCATAGACCTGAAAGCTGTCCTAATGTTCACTTCCAGATACTACAGAAAGAGTGTTTCAAAACTGCTGTACGAAAGGGAATGTGCAACTCTGTGACTTGAATGCACACATCACAAGGAAGTTTCTGAGGATGCTGCTGTCTACTTTTTATACGTAAACCCGTTTCCAACGAAATCCTCCAAGCTATCCAAATATCCACTTGCAGATTCCACAGAAAGACTGTTTCAAAACTGCTCTGTCAATAGAAAGGTTCAACTCTGTTAGCTGCATGCATATATCCCAAAGAAGATTCTGAGATTGCTTCTGTCTAGTTTTTATGGGAAGATATTTCCCTTTTCACCGTAGGCGTCAAGGCGCTCCAAATGTCCACTTCCAGATACTACAAAAAGAGTGTTTCAAACCTACTCTGTGGAAGGGAATATTCAACTCTGTGACTTGAATGCACATATCACAAAGAAGTTTCTGAGAATGCTTCTGTCGAGATTTTATATGAAGATATTCCCGTTTCCAACAAAATCCTGAAATCTATCCAAATATCCCCTCGCAGATTCTACAAAAAGAGTGTTTCAAAACTGCTCTGTAAAAAGAATGGTTCAACTCTGTTAGTTGAGTACACACATCACAAACAAGTTTCACAGAATGCTTCTTTCTAGCTTGTAGGGGAAGATATTCCCTTTATCACCATGGGCCTCAAACCGTCCAAAAAGTCTACTTCCATATACTACAAAAAGAGCGTTTCAAACCTACTCTATGAAAGGCAATGTTCAACTCTGTGACTTGAATGCAGACATCACAGAGCAGTTTCTGAGAATGCTTCTGTCTGGATTTTATAGGAAGATATTCCCGTTTCCAACGAAATCTTCACAGCTATCCAAATATCCACTTGCAGATTCTACAAAAAGAGTGTATCAAAACTGCTCTGTCAAAAGGAAGGTTCTTCTCTGTTAGTTGAGTACATACGTCATAAAGGAGTTTCTGAGAATGTTTCTGTCTAGTGGTTATGGGAAGATATTTGCTTTTTCACCTTAGGCCTCAGAGCGCTCCAAATATCCACTTGCACATACTACAAAAAGAGTGCTTCAAAGCTGCTCTCTGAAACGGAATGTTCAACTCTATGGGTTGAATGCAAACATCACAAAGACGTTTCTGAGAATGCTTCTGTCTAGATTTGATATGAAGATATTCCCGTTTCCAACGAAATCTTCAAATCTATCCAAATGTCCACTTGCAGATTCAACAAAAAGTGTTTTTCAGAACTGCTCTATCAAAAGAAAGATCCACCTCTGTTAGCTGAGTTCACACATCACAAACAAGTTGATGAGAATGCTTCTGTCTAGTTTTTATTTGAAGATATTTCCTTTCTCACCATAGACCTGAAAGCTGTCCTAATGTTCACTTCCAGATACTACAGAAAGAGTGTTTCAAAACTGCAGTACGAAAGGGAATGTTCAACTCTGTGACTTGAATGCACACATCACAAAGAAGTTTCTGAGGATGCTGCTGTCTACTTTTTATACGTAATCCCGTTTCCAACGAAATCCTCCAAGCTATCCAAATATCCACTTGCAGATTCCACAGAAAGACTGTTTCAAAAGTGCTCTCTCAATAGAAAGGTTCAACTCTGTTAGCTGCGTGCATATATCCCAAAGACGATTCTGAGATTGCTTCTCTCTAGTTTTTATGGGAAGATATTTCCCTTTTCACCGTAGGTGTCAAGGCGCTCCAAATGTCCACTTCCAGATACTACAAAAAGAGTGTTTCAAACCTACTCTGTGAAAGGGAATATTCAACTCTGTGACTTGAATGCACATATCACAAAGAAGTTTCTGAGAATGCTTCTGTCGAGATTTTATATGAAGATATTCCCGTTTCCAACGAAATCCTGAAATCTATCGAAATATCCCCTCGCAGATTCTACAAAAAGAGTGTTTCAAAACTGCTCTGTAAAAAGAAAGGTTCAACTCTGTTAGTTGAGTACACACATCACAAACAAGTTTCACAGAATGCTTCTTTCTAGCTTGTAGGGGAATATATTCCCTTTATCACCATGGGTCTCAAACCGTCCGAAACGTCCACTTCCATACACTACAAAAAGAGCGTTTCAAACCTGCTCTATGAAAGGCAATGTTCAACTCTGTGACTTGAATGCAGACATCACAGAGCTGTTTCTGAGAATGCTTCTGTCTAGATTTTATAGGAAGATATTCCCGTTTCCAACGAAATCTTCACAGCTATCCAAATATCCACTTGCAGATTCTACAAAAGGAGTGTATCAAAACTGCTCTGTCAAAAGGAAGGTTCTTCTCTGTTAGGTGAGTGCATACGTCATAAAGCAGTTTCTGAGAATGTTTCTGTCTAGTCGTTATGGGAAGATATTTGCTTTTTCACCGTAGGCCTCAGAGCGCTCCAAATATCCACTTGCACATACTACAAAAAGAGTGCTTCAAAGCTGGTCTCTGAAACGGAATGTTCAACTCTATGAGTTGAATGCAAACATCACAAAGACGTTTCTGAGAATGCTTCTGTCTAGATTTGATATGAAGATATTCCCGTTTCCAAAGAAAATCTTCAAATCTATCCAAATGTCCACTTGCAGATTCAACAAAAAGTGTTTTTCAGAACTGCTCTATCAAAAGAAAGATCCACCTCTGTTAGCTGAGTTCACACATCAGAAACAAGTTTATGAGAATGCTTCTGTCTAGTTTTTATTTGAAGATATTTCCTTTCTCACCATAGAGCTGAAAGCTGTCCTAATGTTCACTTCCAGATACTACAGAAAGAGTGTTTCAAAACTGCTGTACGAAAGGGAATGTTCAACTCTGTGACTTGAATGCACACATCACAAAGAAGTTTTCTGAGGATGCTGCTGTCTACTTTTGATACGTAATCCCGTTTCCAACGAAATCCTCAAAGCTATCCAAATATCCACTTGCAGATTCCACAGAAAGACTGTTTCAAAACTGCTCTGTCAATAGAAAGGTTCAACTCTGTTAGCTGCGTGCATATATCCCAAAGAAGATTCTGAGATTGCTTCTGTCTAGTTTTTATGGGAAGATATTTCCCTTTTCACTGTAGGCGTCAAGGCGCTCCAAATGTCCACTTCCAGATACTACAAAAAGAGTGTTTCAAACCTACTCTGTGAAAGGGAATATTCAACTCTGTGACTTGAATGCAGATATCACAAAGAAGTTTCTGAGAATGCTTCTGTCGAGATTTTATATGAAGATATTCCCGTTTCCAACGAAATCCTGAAATCTATCCAAATATCCCCTCGCAGATTCTACAAAAAGAGTGTTTCAAAACTGCTCTGTAAAAAGAAAGGTTCAACTCTGTTAGTTGAGTACACACATCACAAACAAGTTTCACAGAATGCTCTTTCTAGCTTGTAGGGGAAGATATTCCCTTCATCACCATGGGCCTCCAACCGTCCGAAACATCCACTTCCATATACTACAAAAAGAGCGTTTCAAACCTGCTCTATGAAAGGCAATGTTCAACTCTGTGACTTGAATGCAGACATCACAGAGTAGTTTCTGAGAATGCTTCTGTCTAGATTTTATAGGAAGATATTCCCGTTTCCAACGAAATCTTCACAGCTATCCAAATATCCACTTGCAGATTCTACAAAAAGAGTGTATCAAACTGCTCAGTCAAAAGGAAGGTTCTTCTCTGTTAGGTGAGTGCATACGTCATAAAGGAGTTTCTGAGAATGTTTCTGTCTAGTGGTTATGGGAAGATATTTGCTTTTTCCCCGTAGGCCTCAGGGCGCTCCAAATGTCCACTTGCACATGCTACAAAAAGAGTGCTTCAAAGCTGCTCTCTGAAAGGGAATGTTCAACTCTATGAGTTGAATGCAAACATCACAAAGACGTTTCTGAGAATGTTTCTGTCTAGATTTATGACGATATTCCCGTTTCCAACGAAATCTTCAAATCTATCCAAATGTCCACTTGCAGATTCAACAAAGTGTTTTTCAGAACTGCTCTATCAAAAGAAAGATCCACCTCTGTTAGCTGAGATCACACTTCACAAACAAGTTTATCAGAATGCTTCTGTCTAGTTTTTATTTGAAGATATATCCTTTCTCACTATAGACCTGAAAGCTCTCCTAAAGTTCACTTCCAGATACTACAGAAAGAGTGTTTCAAAACTGCTGTACGAAAGGGAATGTTCAACTCTGTGACTTGAATGCAGACATCACAGAGCAGTTTCTGAGAATGCTCTGTCTACTTTTTATACGTAATCCCGTTTCCAACGAAATCCTCCAAGCTATCCAAATATCCACTTGCAGATTCCACAGAAAGACTGTTTCAAAACTGCTCTGTCAATAGAAAGGTTCAACTCTGTTAGCTGCATGCATATATCCCAAAGAAGATTCTGAGATTGCTTTCTGTCTAGTTTTTATGGAAGATATTTCCCTTTTCACCGTAGGCGTCAAGGCGCTCCAAATGTCCACTTCCAAATACTACAAAAAGAGTGTTTCAAACCTACTCTGTGAAAGGGAATATTCAACTCTGTGACTTGAATGCACATATCACAAAGAAGTTTCTGAGAATGCTTCTGTCGAGATTTTATATGAAGATATTCCCGTTTCGAACGAAATCCTGAAATCTATCCAAATATCCCCTCGCAGATTCTACAAAAAGAGTGTTTCAAAACTGCTCTGTAAAAAGTAAGGTTCAACTCTGTTAGTTGAGTACACACATCACAAACAAGTTTCACAGAATGCTTCTTTCTAGCTTGTAGGGGAAGATATTCCCTTTATCACCATGGGCCTCAAACCATCCGAAACGTCCACTTCCATATACTACAAAAAGAGCGTTTCAAACCTGCTCTAGGAAAGGCAATGTTCAACTCTGTGACTTGAATGCAGACATCACAGAGTAGTTTCTGAGAATGCTTCTGTCTAGATTTTATAGGAAGATATTCCCGTTTCCAACGAAATCTTCACAGCTATCCAAATATCCACTTGCAGATTCTACAAAAAGAGTGTATCAAAACTGCTCTGTGAAAAGGAAGGTTCTTCTCTCTTAGTTGAGTACATACGTCATAAAGGAGTTTCTGAGAATGTTTCTGTCTAGTGGTTATGGGAAGATATTTGCTTTTTCACCGTAGGCCTCACAGCGCTCCAAATATCCACTTGCACATACTACAAAAAGAGTGCTTCAAAGCTGCTCTCTGAAAGTGAATGCTCAACTCTATGAGTTGAATGCAAACATCACAAAGACGTTTCTGAGAATGCTTCTGTCTAGATTTGATATGAAGATATTCCCGTTTCCAACGAAATCTTCAAATCTATCCAAATATCCACTTCCAGATTCAACAAAAAGTGTTTTTCAGAACTGCTCTATCAAAAGAAAGATCCACCTCTGTTAGCTGAGTTCACACATCACAAACAAGTTTATGAGAATGCTTCTGTCTAGTTTTTACTTGAGGATATTTCCTTTCTCACCATAGACCTGAAAGCTGTCCTAATGTTCACTTCCAGATACTACAGAAAGAGTGTTTCAAAACTGCTGTACGAAAGGGAATGTTCAACTCTGTGACTCCAATGTACACATCACAAAGAAGTTTCTGAGGATGCTGCTGTCTACTTTTTATACGTAATCCCGTTTCCAACAAAATCCTCCAAGCTATCCAAATATCCACTTGCAGATACCACAGAAAGACTGTTTCAAAACTGCTCTGTCAATAGAAAGGTTCAACTCTGTTAGCTGCGTGCATATATCCCAAAGAGGATTCTGAGATTGCTTCTGTCTAGTTTTTATGGGAAGATATTACCCTTTTCACCGTAGGTGTCAAGGCGCTCCAAATGTCCACTTCCAGATACTACAAAAAGAGTGTTTCAAACCTACTCTGTGAAAGGGAATATTCAACTCTGTGACTTAAAGGCAGATATCACAAAGAAGTTTCTGAGAATGCTTCTGTCGAGATTTTATATGAAGATATTCCCCTTTCCAACGAAATCCTGAAATCTATCCAAATATCCCCTCGCAGATTCTACAAAAAGAGTGTTTCAAAACTGCTCTGTAAAAAGAAAGGTTCAACTCTGTTAGTTGAGTACACACATCACAAACAAGTTTCACAGAATTCTTCTTTCTAGCTTGTAGGGGAAGATATTCCCTTTATCACCATGGGCCTCAAACCGTCCGAAACGTCCACTTCCATATACTACAAAAAGAGCGTTTCAAACCTGCTCTATCAAAGGCAATGTTCAACTCTGTGACTTGAATGCAGACATCACAGAGCAGTTTCTGAGAATGCTTCTGTCTAGATTTTATAGGAAGATATTCCCGTTTCCAGCGAAATCTTCACAGCTATCCAAATATCCACTTGCAGATTCTACAAAAAGAGTGTATCAAAACTGCTCTGTCAAAAGGAAGGTTCTTCTCTGTTAGGTGAGTGCATACGTCATAAAGGAGTTTCTGAGAATGTTTCTGTCTAGTTGTTATGGGAAGATATTTGCTTTTTCACCGTAGGCCTCAGAGCGCTCCAAATATCCACTTGCACATACTACAAAAAGAGTGCCTCAAAGCTGCTCTCTGAAACGGAATGTTCAACTCTATGAGTTGAATGCAAACATCACAAAGACGTTTCTGAGAATGCTTCTATCTAGATTTGATATGAAGATATTCCCGTTTCCAACGAAATCTTCAAATCTATCCAAATGTCCACTTGCAGATTCAACAAAAAGTGTTTTTCAAAACTGCTGTATCAAAAGAAAGATCCACGTCTGTTAGCTGAGTTCACATATCACAAACAATTTTATGAGAATGCTTCTGTCTAGTTTTTATTTGAAGATATTTCCTTTCTCACCATAGACCTGAAAACTGTCCTAATGTTCACTTCCAGATACTACAGAAAGAGTGTTTCAAAACTGCTGTACGAAAGGGAATGTTCAACTCTGTGACTTGAATGCACACATCACAAAGAAGTTTCTGAGGATGCTGCCGTCTACTTTTTATACGTAATCCCGTTTCCAACGAAATCCTCCAAGCTATCCAAATATCCACTTGCAGATTCCACAGAAAGACTGTTTCAAAACTGCTCTGTCAATAGAAAGGTTCAACTCTATTAGCTGCGTACATATATCCCAAAGAAGATTCTGAGATTGCTTCTGTCTAGTTTTTATGGGAAGATATTTCCCTTTACACCGTAGGTGTCAAGGCGCTCCAAATGTCCACTTCCAGATACTACAAAAAGAGTGTTTCAAACCTACTCTGTGAAAGGGAATATTCAACTCTGTGACTTGAATGCACATATCACAAAGAAGTTTCTGAGAATGCTTCTGTCGAGATTTTATATGAAGATATTCCCGTTTCCAACGAAATCCTGAAATCTATCCAAATATCCCCTCGCAGATTCTACAAAAAGAGTGTTTCAAAACTGCTCTGTAAAAAGAAAGGTTCAATTCTGTTAGTTGAGTACACACATCACAAACAAGTTTCACAGAATGCTTCTTTCTAGCTTGTAGGGGAAGATATTTCCTTTATCACCATGGTTCTCAAACCGTCCGAAACGTCCACTTCCATATACTAAAAAAAGAGTGTTTGAAACCTGCTCTATGAAAGGCAATGTTCAACTCTGTGACTTGAATGCAGACATCACAGAGCAGTTTCTGAGAATGCTTCTGTCCAGACTTTATAGGAAGATATTCCCGTTTCCAACGAAATCTTCACAGCTATCCAAATATCCACTTGCAGATAGTACAAAAAGAGTGTATCAAAAATGCTCTGTCAAAAGGAAAGTTCTTCTCTGCTAGTTGAGTACATACGTCATAAAGAAGTTTCTGAGAATGCTTCTGTCTAGTGGTTATGGGAAGATATTTGCTTTTTCACCGTAGGCCTCAGAGCGCTCCAAATATCCTCTTGCACATACTACAAAAAGAGTGCTTCAAAGCTGCTCTCTGAAACGGAATGTTCAACTCTATGAGTTGAATGCAAACATCAGAAAGACGTTTCTGAGAATGCTTCTGTCTAGTATTTGATATGAAGATATTCCCGTTTCCAACGAAATCTTCAAATCTATCCAAATGTCCACTTGCAGATTCAACAAAAAGTGTTTTTCAGAACTGCTCTATCAAAAGAAAGATCCACCTCTGTTAGCTGAGTTCAGACATCACAAACAAGTTTATGAGAATGCTTCTGTCTAGTTTTTATTTGAAGATATTTCCTTTCTCACCATAGACCTGAAAGCTGTCCTAATGTTCACTTCCAGATACTACAGAAAGAGTGTTTCAAAACTGCTGTACGAAAGGGAATGTTCAACTCTGTGACTTGAATGCACACATCACAAAGAAGTTTCTGAGGATGTTGCTGTCTACTATTTATACGTAATCCCGTTTCCAACGAAATCCTCCAATCTAACCAAATATCCACTTGCAGATTACACAGAAAGACTGTTTCAAAACTGCTCTGTCAATAGAAAGATTCAACTCTGTTAGCTGCGTGCATATATCCCAAAGAAGATTCTGAGATTGCTTCTGTCTAGTTTTTATGGGAAGATATTTCCCTTTTCACCATAGGCGTCAAGGCGCTCCAAATGTCCACTTCCAGATACTACAGAAAGAGTGTTTCAAACCTACTCTGTGAAAGGGAATATTCAACTCTGTGACTTGAATGCAGATATCACAAAGAAGTTTCTGAGAATGCTTCTGTCGAGATTTTATATGAAGATATTCCCGTTTCGAACGAAATCCTGAAATCTATCCAAATATCCCCTCGCAGATTCTACAAAAAGAGTGTTTCAAAACTGCTCTGTAAAAAGAAAGGTTCAACTCTGTTAGTTGAGTACACACATCACAAACAAGTTTCACAGAATGCTTCTTTCTAGCTTGTAGGGGAAGATATTCCCTTTATCACCATGGGCCTCAAACCGTCCGAAACGTCCACTTCCATATACTACAAAAAGAGCGTTAAAACCTGCTCTAGGAAAGGCAATGTTCAACTCTGTGACTTGAATGCAGACATCACAGAGCAGGTTCTGAGAATGCTTCTGTCTACATTTTATAGGAAGATATTCCCGTTTCCAACGAAATCTTCACAGCTATCCAAATATCCACTTGCAGATTCTACAAAAAGAGTGTATCAAAACTGCTCTGTCAAAAGGAAGGTTCTTCTCTGTTAGGTGAGTGCACACGTCATAAAGGAGTTTCTGAGAATGTTTCTGTCTACTGGTTATGGGAAGATATTTGCTTTTTCACCGTAGGCCTCAGAGCGCTCCAAATATCCTCTTGCACATACTACAAAAAGAGTGCTTCAAAGCTGCTCTCTGAAACGGAATGTTCAACTCTATGAGTTGAATGCAAACATCACAAAGACGTTTCTGAGAATGCTTCCGTCTAGATTTGATATGAAGATATTCCCGTTTCCAACGAAATCTTCAAATCTATCCAAATGTCCACTTGCAGATTCAACAAAAAGTGTTTTTCAGAAATGCTCTATCAAAAGAAAGATCCAACTCTGTTATCTGAGTTCACACTTCACAAACAAGTTTATCAGAATGCTTCTGTCTAGTTTTTATTTGAAGATATTTCCTTTCTCACTATAGACCTGAAAGCTCTCCTAAAGTTCACTTCCAGATACTACAGAAAGAGTGTTTCAAAACTGCTGTACGAAAGGGAATATTCAACTCTGTGACTTGAATGCACGCATCACAAGGAAGTTTCTGAGGATGCTGCTGTCTACTTTTTATACGTAATCCCGTTTCCAACGAAATCCTCCAAGCTATCCAAATATCCACTTGCAGATTCCACAGAAAGACTGTTTCAAAACTGCTCTGTCAATAGAAATGTTCAACTCTGTTAGCTGCATGCATATATTCCAAAGAAGATTCTGAGATTGCTTCTGTCTACTTTTTATGAGAAGATATTTTCCTTTTCACCGTAGGCGTCAAGGCGCTCCAAATGTCCACTTCCAGATACTACAAAAAGAGTGTTTCAAACCTACTCTGTGAAAGGGAATATTCAACTCTGTGACTTGAATGCACATATCACAAAGAAGTTTCTGAGAATGCTTCTGTCGAGATTTTCTATGAAGATATTCCCGTTTCCAACGAAATCCTGAAATCTATTCAAATATCCCCTCGCAGATTCTACAAAAAGAGTGTTTCAAAACTGCTCTGTAAAAAGAAAGGTTCAACTCTGTTAGTTGAGTACACACATCACAAAGAAGTTTCACAGAATGCTTCTTTCTAGCTTGTAGGGGAAGATATTCCCTTTATCACCATGGGCCTCCAACCGTCCGAAACATCCACTTCCATATACTACAAAAAGAGCGTTTCTAACCTGCTCTATGAAAGGCAATGTTCAACTCTGTGACTTGAATGCAGACATCACAGAGCAGTTTCTGAGAATGCTTCTGTCTAGATTTTATAGGAAGATATTCCCGTTTCCAACGAAATCTTCACAGCTATCCAAATATCCACTTGCAGATTCTACAAAAAGAGTGTATCAAAACTGCTCTGTCAAAAGGAAGGTTCTTCTCTGTTAGGTGAGTGCAAACGTCATAAAGGAGTTTCTGACAATATTTCTGTCTAGTGGTTATGGGAAGATATTTGCTTTTTCACCGCAGGCCTCAGAGCGGTCCAAATATCCACTTGCACATACTACAAAAAGAGTGCCTCAAAGCTGCTCTCTGAAACGGAATGTTCAACTCTATGAGTTGAATGCAAACATCACAAAGACGTTTCTGAGAATGCTTCTGTCTAGATTTGATATGAAGATATTCCCGTTTCCAACGAAATCTTCAAATCTATCCAAATGTCCACTAGCAGATTCAACAAAAAGTGTTTTTCAGAACTGCTCTATCAAAAGAAAGATCCACCTCTGTTAGCTGTGTTCACACATCACAAACAAGTTTATGAGAATGCTTCTGTGTAGTTTTTATTTGAAGATATTTCCTTTCTCACCATAGAGCTGAAAGCTGTCCTAATGTTCACTTCCAGATACTACAGAAAGAGTGTTTCAAAACTGCTGTACGAAAGGGAATGTTCAACTCTGTGACTTGAATGCACACATCACAAAGAAGTTTCGGAGGATGCTGCTGTCTACTTTTTATACGTAATCCCGTTTCCAACGAAATCCTCCAAGCTCTCCAAATATCCACTTGCAGATTCCACAGAAAGACTGTTTCAAAACTGCTCTGTCAATAGAAAGGTTCAACTCTGTTAGCTGCGTGCATATATCCCAAAGAAGATTCTGAGATTGCTTCTGTCTAGTTTTTATGGGAAGATATTTCCCTTTTCACCGTAGGCGTCAAGGCGCTCCAAATGTCCACTTCCAGATACTACAAAAAGAGTGTTTCAAACCTACTCTGTGAAAGGGAATATTCAACTCTGTGACTTGAATGCACCTATCACAAAGAAGTTTCTGAGAATGCTTCTGTCGAGATTTTATATGAAGATATTCCCGTTTCCAACGAAATCCTGAAATCTATCCAAATATCCCCTCGCAGATTCTACAAAAAGAGAGTTTCAAAACTGCTCTGTAAAAAGAAAGGTTCAACTCTGTTAGTTGAGTACACACATCACAAACAAGTTTCACAGAATGCTTCTTTCTAGCTTGTAGGGGACGATATTCCCTTTATCACCATGGGCCTCAAACCGACTGAAACGTCCACTTCCATATACTACAAAAAGAGCATTTCAAACCTGCTCTATGAAAGGCAATGTTCAACTCTGTGACTTGAATGCAGACATCACAGAGCAGTTTCTGAGAATGCTTCTGTCTAGATTTTATAGGAAGATATTCCCGTTTCCAACGAAATCTTCACAGCTATCCAAATATCCACTTGCAGATTCTACAAAAAGAGTGCATCAAAACTGCTCTGTCAAAAGGAAGGTTCTTCTCTGTTAGGTGAGTGCATACGTCATAAAGGAGTTTCTGAGAATGTTTCTGTCTAGTGGTTATGGGAAGATATTTGCTTTTTCACCGTAGGCCTCAGAGCGCTCCAAATATCCTCTTGCACATACTACAAAAAGAGTGCTTCAAAGCTGCTCTCTGAAACGGAATGTTCAACTCTATGAGTTGAATGCAAACATCACAAAGACGTTTCTGAGAATGCTTCTGTCTAGATTTGATATGAAGATATTCCCGTTTCCAACGAAATCTTCAAATCTATCCAAATGTCCACTTGCAGATTCAACAAAACGTGTTTTTCAGAACTGCTCTATCAAAAGAAAGATCCACCTCTGTTAGCTGAGTTCACACATCACAAACAAGTTGATGAGAATGCTTCTGTCTAGTTTTTATTTGAAGATATAACCTTTCTCACTATAGACCTGAAAGCTCTCCTAAAGTTCACTTCCAGATACTACAGAAAGAGTGTTTCGAAACTGCTGTATGAAAGGGAATGTTCAACTCTGTGACTTGAATGCACACATCACAAAGAAGTTTCTGAGGATGCTGCTGTCTACTTTTTATACGTAATCCCGTTTCCAACGAAATCCTCCAAGCTATCCAAATATCCACTTGCAGATTCCACAGAAAGACTGTTTCAAAACTGCTCTGTCAATAGAAAGGTTCAACTCTGTTAGTTGCGTGCATATATCCCAAAGAAGATTCTGAGATTGCTTCTGTCTAGTTTTTATGGGAAGATATTTCCCTTTTCACCATAGGCGTCAAGGCGCTCCAAATGTCCACTTCCAGATACTACAAAAAGAGTGTTTCAAACCTACTCTGTGAAAGGGAATATTCAACTCTGTGACTTGAAGGCAGATATCACAAAGAAGTTTCTGAGAATGCTTCTGTCGAGATTTTATATGAAGATATTCCCGTTTCCAACGAAATCCTGAAATCTATCGAAATATCCCCTCGCAGATTCTACAAAAAGAGTGTTTCAAAACCGCTCTGTAAAAAGAAAGGTTCAACTCTGTTAGTTGAGTACACACATCACAAACAAGTTTCACAGAATGCTCTTTCTAGCTTGTAGGGGAAGATATTCCCTTTATCACCATGGGCCTCAAACCGTCTGAAACGTCCACTTCCATATACTACAAAAAGAGCATTTCAAACCTGCTCTATGAAAGGCAATGTTCAACTCTGTGACTTGAATGCAGACATCACAGAGCAGTTTCTGAGAATGCTTTCTGTCTATACTTTATAGGAAGATATTCCCGTTTCCAAAGAAATCTTCACAGCTATCCAAATATCCACTTGCAGATTCTACAAAAAGAGTGTATCAAAACTGCTCTGTCAAAAAGAAGGTTCTTCTCTGTTAGGTGAGTGCATACGTCATAAAGGAGTTTCTGAGAATGTTTCTGTCTAGTGGTTATGGGAAGATATTTGCTTTTTCACCGTAAGCCCCAGAGCACTCCAAATATCCACTTGCACATACTACAAAAAGAGTGCTTCAAAGCTGCTCTCTGAAACGGAATGTTCAACTCTATGAGTTGAATGCAATCATCACAAAGACGTTTCTGAGAATGCTTCTGTCTAGATTTGATATGAAGATATTCCCGTTTCCAACGAAATCTTCAAATCTATCCAAATGTCCACTTGCAGATTCAACAAAAAGTGTTTTTCAGAACTGCTCTATCAAAAGAAAGATCCAACCTCTGTTAGCTGAGTTCACACATCACAAACAAGTTTATGAGAATGCTTCCGTCTAGTTTTTATTTGAAGATATTTCCTTTCTCACCATAGACCTGAAAGCTGTCCTAATGTTCACTTCCAGATACTACAGAAAGAGTGTTTCAAAACTGCTGTACGAAAGGGAATGTTCAACTCTGTGACTTGAATGCACACATCACAAGGATGTTTCTGAGGATGCTGCTGTCTACTTTTTATACGTAATCCCGTTTCCAACGAAATCCTCCAAGCTATCCAAATATCCACTTGCAGATTCCACAGAAAGACTGTTTCAAAACTGCTCTGTCAATAGAAAGGTTCAACTCTATTAGCTGCGTACATATATCCCAAAGAAAATTCTGAGATTGCTTCTGTCTAGTTTTGATGGGAAGATATTTCCCTTTTCACCGTAGGTGTCAAGGCGCTCCAAATGTCCACTTCCAGATACTACAAAAAGAGTGTTTCAAACCTACTCTGTGAAAGGGAATATTCAACTCTGTGACTTGAATGCACATATCACAAAGAAGTTTCCTGAGAATGCTTCTGTCGAGATTTTATATGAAGATATTCCCGTTTCCAACGAAATCCTGAAATCTATCCAAATATCCCCTCGCAGATTCTACAAAAAGAGTGTTTCAAAACTGCTGTGTAAAAAGAAAGGTTCAACTCTGTTAGTTGAGTACACACATCACAAACAAGTTTCACACAATGCTTCTTTCTAGCTTGTAGGGGAAGATATTTCCTTCATCACCATGGGCCTCAAACCGTCCGAAACGTCCACTTCCATATACTACAAAAAGAGCGTTTGAAACCTGCTCTATGAAAGGCAATGTTCAACTCTGTGACTTGAATGCAGACATCACAGAGCAGTTTCTGAGAATGCTTCTGTCTAGATTTTATAGGAAGATATTCCCGTTTCCAACGAAATCTTCACAGCTATCCAAATATCCACTTGCAGATTCTACAAAAAGAGTGTATCAAAACTGCTCTGTCAAAAGGAAGGTTCTTCTCTGTTAGGTGAGTGCATACGTCATAAAGGAGTTTCTGAGAATGTTCTGTCTAGTGGTTATGGGAAGATATTTGCTTTTTCACCGTAGGCCTCAGAGCGCTCCAAATATCCCCTTGCACATACTACAAAAAGAGTGCTTCACAGCTGCTCTCTGAAACGGAATGTTCAAATCTATGAGTTGAATGCAAACATCACAAAGACGTTTCTGAGAATGCTTCTGTCTGGACTTGATATGAAGATATTCCCGTTTCCAACGAAATCTTCAAATCTATCCAAATGTCCACTTGCAGATTCAACAAAAAGTGTTTTTCAAAACTGCTGTATCAAAAGAAAGATCCACGTCCGTTAGCTGAGTTCACACATCACAAACAAGTTTATGAGAATGCTTCTGTCTAGTTTTTATTTGAAGATATTTCCTTTCTCACCATAGAGCTGAAAGCTGTCTTAGTGTTCACTTCCAGATACTACAGAAAGAGTGTTTCAAAACTGCTGTACGAAAGGGAATGTTCAACTCTGTGACTTGAATGCACACATCACAAAGAAGTTTCTGAGGATGCTGCTGTCTACTTTTTATACGTAATCCCGTTTCCAACGAAATCCTCCAAGCTATCCAAATGTCCACTTGCAGATTCCACAGAAAGACTGTTTCAAAACTGCTCTGTCAATAGAAAGGTTCAACTCTGTTAGCTGCGTGCATATATCCCAAAGAAGATTCTGAGATTGCTTCTGTCTAGTTATTATGGGAAGATATTTCCCTTTTCACCGTAGGCGTCAAGGCGCTCCAAATGTCCACTTCCAGATACTACAAAGAGAGTGTTTCAAACCTACTCTGTGAAAGGGAATATTCAACTCTGTGACTTGAATGCACATATCACAAAGAAGTTTCTGAGAATGCTTCTGTCGAGATTTTATATGAAGATATTCCCGTTTCCAACGAAATCCTGAAATCTCTCCAAATATCCCCTCGCAGATTCTACAAAAAGAGTGTTTCAAAACTGCTCTGTAAAAAGAAAGGTTCAACTCTGTTACTTGAGTACACACATCACAAACAAGTTTCACAGAATGATTCTTTCTAGCTTGTAGGGGAAGATATTCCCTTTATCACCATGGGCCTCAAACCGTCCGAAACGTCCACTTCCATATACTACAAAAAGAGCGTTTCAAACCTGCTCTATGAAAGACAATGTTCAACTCTGTGACTTGAATGCAGACATCAGAGAGCAGTTTCTGAGAATGCTTCTGTCTAGATTTTATAGGAAGATATTCCCGTTTCCAACGAAATCTTCACAGCTATCCAAATATCCACTTGCAGATTCTACAAAAAGAGTGTATCAAAACTGCTCTGTCAAAAGGGAAGGTTCTTCTCTGTTAGGTGAGTGCATACGTCATAAAGGAGTTTCTGAGAATGTTTCTGTCTAGTGGTTATGGGAAGATATTTGCTTTTTACCCGTAGGCCTCAGGGCGCTCCAAATGTCCACTTGCACATGCTACAAAAAGAGTGCTTCAAAGCTACTCTCTGGAAGGGAATGTTCAACTCTATGAGTTGAATGCAAATATCACAAAGACGTTTCTGAGAATGCTTCTGTCTAGATTTGATATGAAGATATTCCCGTTTCCAACGAAATCTTCAAATCTATCCAAATGTCCACTTGCAGATTCAACAAAAAGTGTTTTTCAAAACTGCTGTATCAAAAGAAATATCCACGTCTGTTAGCTGAGTTCAGACATCACAAACAAGTTTATGAGAATGCTTCTGTCTAGTTTTTATTGGAAGGTATTTCCTTTCTCACCATAGACCTGAAAGCTGTCCTAATGTTCACTTCCAGATACTACAGAAAGAGTGTTTCAAAACTGCTGTACGAAAGGGAATGTTCAACTCTGTGACTTGAATGCACACATCACAAAGATGTTTCGGAGGATGCTGCTGTCTACTTTTTATACGTAATCCCGTTTCCAACGAAATCCTCAAAGCTATCCAAATATCCACTTGCAGATTCCACAGAAAGACTGTTTCAAAACTGCTCTGTCAATAGAAAGGTTCAACTCTGTTAGCTGCGTGCATATATCCCAAAGAAGATTCTGAGATTGCTTCTGTCTAGTTTTTATGGGAAGATATTTCCCTTTTCACCGTAGGCGTCAAGGCGCTCCAAATGTCCACTTCCAGATACTACAAAAAGAGTGTTTCAAACCTACTCTGTGAAAGGGAATATTCAACTCTGTGACCTGAATGCACATATCACAAGGAAGTTTCTGAGAATGCTTCTGTCGAATTTTTATATGAAGATATTCCCGTTTCCAACGAAATCCTGAAATCTATCCAAATATCCCCTTGCAGATTCTACTAAAAGAGTGTTTCAAAACTGCTCTGTAAAAAGAAAGGTTCAACTCTGTTAGTTGAGTACACACATCACAAACAAGTTTCACACAATGCTTCTTTCTAGCTTGTAGGGGAAGATATTCCCTTTATCACCATGGGCCTCAAACTGTCCGAAACGTCCACTTCCATATACTACAAAAAGAGCGTTTCAAACCTGCTCTATGAAAGGCAATGTTCAACTCTGTGACTTGAATGCAGACATCACAGAGCAGTTTCTGAGAATGCTTCTGTGTAGATTTTATAGGAAGATATTCCCGTTTCCAACGAAATCTTCACAGCTATCCAAATATCCACTTGCAGATTCTACAAAAAGAGTGTATCAAAACTGCTCTGTCAAAAGGAAGGTTCTTCTCTGTTAGGTAAGTGCATACGTCATAAAGGAGTTTCTGAGAATGTTTCTGTCTAGTGGTTATGGGAAGATATTTGCTTTTTCACCGTAGGCCTCAGAGCGCTCCAAATATCCACTTGCAGATACTACAAAAAGAGTGCCTCAAAGCTGCTCTCTGAAACGGAATGTTCAACTCTATGAGTTGAATGCAAACATCGCAAAGACGTTTCTGAGAATGCTTCTGTCTAGATTTGATATGAAGATATTCCCGTTTCCAACGGAAATCTTCAAATCTATCCAAATGTCCACTTGCAGATTCAACAAAAAGTGTTTTTCCGAACTGCTCTATCAAAAGAAAGATCCGCCTCTGTTAGCTGAGTTCACACATCACAAACAAGTTTATGAGAATGCTTCCGTCTAGTTTTTATTTGAAGATATATCCTTTCTCACTATAGACCTGAAAGGTGTCCTAAAGTTCACTTCCAGATACTACAGAAAGAGTGTTTCAAAACTGCTGTACGAAAGGGAATGTTCAACTCTGTGACTTGAATGCACACATCACAAGGATGTTTCTGAGGATGCTGCTGTCTACTTTTTATACGTAATCCCGTTTCCAACGAAATCCTCCAAGCTATCCAAATATCCACTTGCAGATTCCACCGAAAGACTGTTTCAAAACTGCTCTGTCAATAGAAAGGTTCAACTCTGTTAGCTGCGTGCATATATCCCAAAGAAGATTCTGAGATTGCTTCTGTCTAGTTTTTATGGGAAGATATTTCCCTTTTCACCGTAGGCGTCAAGGGGCTCCAAATGTCCACTTCCAGATACTACAAAAAGAGTGTTTCAAACCTACTCTGTGAAAGGGAATATTCAACTCTGTGACTTGAATGCACATATCACAAAGAAGTTTCTGAGAATGCTTCTGTCGAGATTTTATATGAAGATATTCCCGTTTCCAACGAAATCCTGAAATCTCTCCAAATATCCCCTCGCAGATTCTACAAAAAGAGTGTTTCAAAACTGCTCTGTAAAAAGAAAGGTTCAACTCTGTTACTTGAGTACACACATCACAAACAAGTTTCACAGAATGCTTCTTTCTAGCTTGTAGGGGAAGATATTCCCTTTATCACCATGGGCCTCAAACCGTCCGAAACGTCCACTTCCATATAGTACAAAAAGAGCGTTTCAAACCTGCTCTATGAAAGGCAATGTTCAACTCAGTGACTTGAATGCAGACATCACAGAGCAGTTTCTGAGAATGCTTCTGTCTAGATTTTATAGGAAGATATTCCCGTTTCCAACGAAATCTTCACAGCTATCCAAATATCCACTTGCAGATTCTACAAAAAGAGTGTATCAAAACTGCTCTGTCAAAAGGAAGGTTCTTCTCTCTTAGGTGAGTGCATACGTCGTAAAGGAGTTTCTGAGAATGTTTCAGTCTAGTGGTTATGGGAAGATATTTGCTTTTTCACCGTAGACCTCACAGCGCTCCAAATATCCACTTGCACATACTACAAAAAGAGTGCTTCAAAGCTGCTCTCTGAAACGGAATGTTCAACTCTATGAGTTGAATGCAAACATCACAAAGACGTTTCTGAGAATGCTTCTGTCTAGATTTGATATGAAGATATTCCCGTTTCCAACGAAATCTTCAAATTTATCCAAATGTCCACTTGCAGATTCAACAAAAAGTGTTTTTCAGAACTGCTCTATCAAAAGAAAGATCCACCTCCGTTAGCTGAGTTCACACTTCACAAACAAGTTTATCAGAATGCTTCTGTCTAGTTTTTATTTGAAGATATTTCCTTTCTCACCATAGAGCTGAAAGCTGTCCTAATGTTCACTTCCAGATACTACAGAAAGAGTGTTTGAAAACTGCTGTACGAAAGGGAATGTTCAACTCTGTGACTTGAATGCACACATCACAAAGAAGTTTCTGAGGATGCTGCTGTCTACTTTTTATACGTAATCCCGTTTCCAACGAAATCCTCCAAGCTATCCAAATATCCACTTGCAGATTCCACAGAAAGACTGTTTCAAAACTGCTCTGTCAATAGAAACGTTCAACTCTGTTAGCTGCGTGCATATATCCCAAAGAAGATTCTGAGATTGCTTCTGTCTAGTTTTTATGGGAAGATATTTCCCTTTTCACCGTAGGTGTCAAGGCGCTCCAAATGTCCACTTCCAGATACTACAAAAAGAGTGTTTCAAACCTACTCTGTGAAAGGGAATATTCAACTCTGTGACTTGAATGCACATATCACAAAGAAGTTCCTGAGAATGCTTCTGTCGAGATTTTATATGAAGATATTCCCGTTTCCAACGAAATCCTGAAATCTATCCAAATATCCCCTCGCAGATTCTACAAAAAGAGTGTTTCAAAACTGCTCTGTAAAAAGAAAGGTTCAACTCTGTTACTTGAGTACACACATCACAAACAAGTTTCACAGAATGCTTCTTTCTAGCTTGTAGGGGAAGATATTCCCTTTATCACCATGGGCCTCAAACCGTCCGAAACGTCCACTTCCATATACTACAAAAAGAGCGTTTCAAACCTGATCTAGGAAAGGCAATGTTCAACTCTGTGACTTGAATGCAGACATCACAGAGCAGTTTCTGAGAATGCTTCTGTCTAGATGTTATAGGAAGATATTCCCGTTTCCAACGAAATCTTCACAGGTATCCAAATATCCACTTGCAGATTCTACAAAAAGAGTGTATCAAAACTGCTCTGTCAAAAGGAAGGTTCTTCTCTGTTAGGTGAGTGCATACGTCATAAAGGAGTTTCTGAGAATGTTTCTGTCTAGTGGTTATGGGAAGATATTTGCTTTTTCCCCGTAGGCCTCAGGGCGCTCCAAATGTCCACTTGCACATGCTACAAAAAGAGTGCTTCAAAGCTGCTCTCTGAAAGGGAATGTTCAACTCTATGAGTTGAATGCAAACATCACAAAGACGTTTACTGAGAATGCTTCTGTCTAGATTTGATATGAAGATATTCCCGTTTCCAACGAAATCTTCAAATCTATCCAAATGTCCACTTGCAGATTCAACAAAAAGTGTTTTTCAGAACTGCTCTATCAAAAGAAAGATCCACCTCTGTAAGCTGAGTTCACACATCACAAACAAGTTTATGAGAATGCTTCTGTCTAGTCTTTATTTGAAGATATTTCCTTTCTCACCATAGACCTGAAAGCTGTCCTAATGTTCACTTCCAGATACTACACAAAGAGTGTTTCAAAACTGCTGTACGAAAGGGAATGTTCAACTCTGTGACTTGAATGCACACATCACAAAGAAGTTTCTGAGGATGCTGCTGTCTACTTTTTATACGTAATCCCGTTTCCAACGAAATCCTCCAATCTATCCAAATATCCACTTGCAGATTCCACAGAAAGACTGTTTCAAAACTGCTCTGTCAATAGAAAGGTTCAACTCTGTTAGCTGCGTGCATATATCCCAAGGAAGATTCTGAGATTGCTTCTGTCTAGTTTTTATGGGAAGATATTTCCCTTTTCACCGTAGGCGTCAAGGCGCTCCAAATGTCCACTTCCAGATACTACAAAAAGAGTGTTTCAAACCTACTCTGTGAAAGGGAGTATTCAACTCTGTGACTTGAACACACATATCACAAAGAAGTTTCTGAGAATGCTTCTGTCGAGATTTTATATGAAGATATTCCGGTTTCCAACAAAATCCTGAAATCTATCCAAATATCCCCTCGCAGATTCTACAAAAAGAGTGTTTCAAAACTGCTCTGTAAAAAGAAAGGTTCAACTCTGTTAGTTGAGTACACACATCACAAACAAGTTTCACACAATGCTTCTTTCTAGCTTGTAGGGGAAGATATTCCCTTTATCACCATGGGCCTCAAACCGTCCGAAACGTCCACTTCCATATACTACAAAAAGAGCGCTTCAAACCTGCTGTATGAAAGACAATGTTCAACTCTGTGACTTGAATGCAGACATCACAGAGCAGTTTCTGAGAATGCTTCTGTCTAGATTTTATAGGAAGATATTTCCGTTTCCAACGAAACCTTCACAGCTATCCAAATATCCACTTGCAGATTCTACAAAAAGAGTGTATCAAAACTGCTCTGTCAAACGGAATGTTCTTCTCTGTTAGTTGAGTACATACGTCATAAAGGAGTTTCTGAGAATGTTTCTGTCTAGTGGTTATGGGAAGATATTTGCTTTTTCACCGTCGGCCTCAGAGCGCTCCAAATATCCCCTTGCACATACTACAAAAAGAGTGCTTCAAAGCTGCTCTCTGAAAGGGAATGTTCAACTCTATGAGTTGAATGCAAACATCACAAAGACGTTTCTGAGAATGCTTCTGTCTAGATTTGATATGAAGATATTCCCGTTTCCAACGAAATCTTCAAATCTATCCAAATGTCCACTTTCAGATTCAACAAAAAGTGTTTTTCAGAACTGCTCTATCAAAAGAAAGATCCACCTCTGTTAGCTGAGTTCACACATCACAAACAAGTTTATGAGAACGCTTCTGTCTAGTTTTTATTTGAAGATATTTCCTTTCTCACCATAGACCTGAAAGCTGTCCTAATGTTCACTCCCAGATACTACAGAAAGAGTGTTTCAAAACTGCTGTACGAAAGGGAAAGTTCAACTCTGTGACTTGAATGCACACATCACAAAGAAGTTTCTGAGGATGCTGCTGTCTACTTTTTATACGTAATCCCGTTTCCAACGAAATCCTCCAATCTATCCAAATATCCACTTGCAGATTCCACAGAAAGACTGTTTCAAAACTGCTCTGTCAATAGAAAGGTTCAACTTTGTTAGCTGCGTGCATATATCCCAAAGAAGATTCTGAGATTGCTTCTGTCTAGTTTTGATGGGAAGATATTTCCCTTTTCACCGTGGGCGTCAAGGCGCTCCAAATGTCCACTTCCAGATACTACAAAAAGAGTGTTTCAAACCTACTCTGTGAAAGGGAATATTCAACTCTGTGACTTGAATGCACATATCACAAAGAAGTTTCTGAGAATGCTTCTGTCGAGATTTTATATGAAGATATTCCCCTTTCCAACGAAATCCTGAAATCTATCCAAATATCCCCTCGCAGATTCTACAAAAAGAGTGTTTCAAAACTGCTCTGTAAAAAGAAAGGTTCAACTCTGTTAGTTGACTACACACATCACAAACAAGTTTCACAGAATGCTTCTTTCTAGCTTGTAGGGGAAGATATTCCCTTTATCACTATGGGCCTCAAACCGTCCGAAACGTCCACTTCCATATACTACAAAAAGAGCGTTTCAAACCTGCTCTAGGAAAGGCAGTGTTCAACTCTGTGACTTGAATGCAGACATCACAGAGCAGTTTCTGAGAATGCTTCTGTGTAGATTTTATAGAAAGATATTCCCGTTTCCAACGAAATCTTCACAGCTATCCAAATATCCACTTGCAGATTCTACAAAAAGAGTGTATCAAAACTGCTCTGTCAAAAGGAAGGTTCTTCTCTGTTAGGTGAGTGCATACGTCATAAAGGAGTTTCTGAGAATGTTTCTGTCTAGTGGTTATGGGAAGATATTTGCTTTTTCACCTTAGGCCTCAGAGCGCTCCAAATATCCACTTGCACATACTACAAAAAGAGTGCTTCAAAGCTGCTCTCTGAAAGGGAATGTTCAACTCTATGAGTTGAATGCAAACATCACAAAGACGTTTCTGAGAATGCTTCTGTCTAGATTTGATATGAAGATATTCCCGTTTCCAACGACATCTTCAAATCTATCCAAATGTCCACTTGCAGATTCAACAAAACGTGTTTTTCAGAACTGCTCTATCAAAAGAAACATCCACCTCTGTTAGCTGAGTTCACACATAACAAACAAGTTCTTGAGAATGCTTCTGTCTAGTTTTTATTTGAAGATATTTCCTTTCTCACCATAGACCTGAAAGCTGTCCTAATGTTCACTTCCAGATACTACAGAAAGTGTGTTTCAAAACTGCTCTACGAAAGGGAATGTTCAACTCTGTGACTTGAATGCACACATCACAAAGAAGTTTCTGAGGATGCTGCTGTCTACTTTTTATACGTAATCCCGTTTCCAACGAAATCCTCCTAGCTATCCAAATATCTACTTGCAGATTCCACAGAAAGACTATTTCAAAACTGCACTGTCAATAGAAAGGTTCAACTCTGTTAGCTGCGTGCATATATCCCAAAGAAGATTCTGAGATTGCTTCTGTCTAGTTTTTATGGGAAGATATTTCCCTTTTCACCGAAGGCGTCAAGGCGCTCCAAATGTCCACTTCCAGATACTACAAAAAGAGTGTTTCAAACCTACTCTGTGAAAGGGAATATTCAACTCTGTGACTTGAATGCACATATCACAAAGAAGTTTCTGAGAATGCTTCTGTCGAGTATTTTATATGAAGATATTCCCGTTTCCAACGAAATGCTGAAATGTATCCAAATATCCCATCGCAGATTCTACAAAAAGAGTGTTTCAAAACTGCTCTGTAAAAAGAAAGGTTCAACTCTGTTAGTTGAGTACACACATCACAAACAAGTTTCACAGAATGCTTCTGTCTAGTTTTTATGGGAAGATATTTCCCTTTTCACCGTAGGCGTCAATGCACTCCAAACGTCTACTTCCATATACTACAAAAAGAGCGTTTCAAACCTGCTCTATGAAAGGCAATGTTCAACTCTGTGACTTGAATGCAGACATCACAGAGCAGTTTCTGAGAATGCTTCTGTCTAGGTTTTATAGGAAGATATTCCCGTTTCCAACGAAATCTTCACAGCTATCCAAATATCCACTTGCAGATTCTACAAAAAGAGTGTATCAAAACTGCTCTGTCAAAAGGAAGGTTCTTCTCTGTTAGGTGAGTGCATACGTCGTAAAGGAGTTTCTGAGAATGTTTCTGTCTAGTGGTTATGGGAAGATATTTGCTTTTTCACCGTAGGCCTCAGAGCGCTCCAAATATCCACTTGCACATACTACAAAAAGAGTGCTTCAAAGCTGCTCTCTGAAACGGAATGTTCAACTCTATGAGTTGAATGCAAACATGACAAAGACGTTTCTGAGAATGCTTCTGTCTAGATTTGATATGAAGAAATTCCCGTTTCCAACGAAATCTTCAAATCTATCCAAATGTCCACTTGCAGATTCAACAAAGTGTTTTTCAGAACTGCTCTATCAAAAGAAAGATCCACCTCTGTTAGCTGAGATCACACTTCACAAACAAGTTTATCAGAATGCTTCTGTCTAATTTTTATTTGAAGATATTTCCTTTCTCACCATAGACCTGAAAGCTGTCCTAATGTTCACTTCCAGATACTACAGAAAGAGTGTTTCAAAACTGCTGTACGAAAGGGAATGTTCAACTCTGTGACTTGAATGCACACATCACAAAGAAGTTTCTGAGGATGCTGCTGTCTACTTTTTGTACGTAATCCCGTTTCCAAGGAAATCCTCCAAGCTATCCAAATATCCACTTGCAGATTCCACAGAAAGACTGTTTCAAAACTGCTCTGTCAATAGAAAGGTTCAACTCTGTTAGCTGCGTGCATATATCCCAAAGAAGATTCTGAGATTGCTTCTGTCTACTTTTTATGAGAAGATATTTCCCTTTTCACCGTAGGCGTCAAGGCGCTCCAAATGTCCACTTCCAGATACTACAAAAAGAGTGTTTCAAACCTACTCTGTGAAAGGGAATATTCAACTCTGTGACTTGAATGCACATATCACAAAGAAGTTTCTGAGAATACTTCTGTCGAGATGTTTTATGAAGATATTCCCGTTTCCAACGAAATCCTGAAATCTATCCAAAAATCCCCTCGCAGATTCTACAAAAAGAGTGTTTCAAAACTGCTCTGTAAAAAGAAAGGTTCAACTCTGTTAGTTGAGTACACACATCACAAACAAGTTTCACAGAATGCTTCTTTCTAGCTTGTAGGGGAAGATATTCCCTTTATCACCATGGGCCTCAAACCGTCCGTAACGTCCACTTCCATATACTACAAAAAGAGCGTTTCAAACCTGCTCTATGAAAGGCAATGTTCAACTCTGTGACTTGAATGCAGACATCACAGAGCAGTTTCTGAGAATGCTTCTGTCTAGATTTTATAGGAAGATATTCCCGTTTCCAACGAAATCTTCACAGCTATCCAAATATCCACTTGCAGATTGTACAAAAAGAGTGTATCAAAACTGCTCTGTCAAAAGGAAGGTTCTTTTCTGTTAAGTGAGTGCATACGTCATAAAGGAGTTTCTGAGAATGTTTCTGTCTAGTGGTTATGGGAAGATATTTTCTTTTTCACCGTAGGCCTCAGAGCGCTCCAAATATCCAGTTGCACATAGTACAAAAAGAGTGCCTCAAAGCTGCTCTCTGAAACGGAATGTTCAACTCTGTGAGTTGAATGCAAACATCGCAAAGACGTTTCTGAGAATGCTTCTGTCTAGATTTGATATGAAGATATTCCCGTTTCCAACGAAATCTTCATATCTATCCAAATGTCCACTTGCAGATTCAACAAAAAGTGTTTTTCAAAACTGCTCTATCAAAAGAAACATCCACCTCTGTTAGCTGAGTTCACACATAACAAACAAGTTCTTGAGAATGCTTCTGTCTAGTTTTTATTTGAAGATATTTCCTGTCTCACCATAGACCTGAAAGCTGTCCTAATGTTCACTTCCAGATACTACAGAAAGAGTGTTTCAAAACTGCTGTACGAAAGGGAATGTTCAACTCTGTGACTTGAATGCCCACATCACAAAGATGTTTCTGAGGATGCTGCTGTCTACTTTTTATACGTAATCCCGTTTCCAACGAAATCCTCCAAGCTATCGAAATATCCACTTGCAGATTCCACAGAAAGACTGTTTCAAAACTGCTCTGTCGATAGAAAGGTTCAACTCTGTTAGCTGCGTGCATATATCCCAAAGAAGATTCTGAGATTGCTTCTGTCTAGTTTTTATGGGAAGATATTTCCCTTTTCACCGTAGGCGTCAAGGCGCTCCAAATGTCCACTTCCAGATACTACAAAAAGAGTGTTTCAAACCTACTCTGTGAAAGGGAATATTCAACTCTGTGTCTTGAATGCACATATCACAAAGAAGTTTCTGAGAATGCTTCTGTCGAGATTTTATATGAAGATATTCCCGTTTCCAACGAAATCCTGAAATCTATCCAAATATCCCCTCTCAGATTCTACAAAAAGAGTGTTTCAAAACTGTTCTGTAAAAAGAAAGGTTCAACTCTGTTAGTTGAGTACACACATCACAAACAAGTATCACAGAATGCTTCTTTCTAGCTTGTAGGGGAAGATATTCCCTTCATCACCATGGGCCTCAAACCGTCCGAAACGTCCACTTCCATATACTACAAAAAGAGCGTTTCAAACCTGCTCTAGGAAAGGCAATGTTCAACTCTGTGACTTGAATGCAGACATCACAGAGCAGTTTCTGAGAATGCTTCTGTCTAGATTTTATAGGAAGATATTCCAGTTTCCAACGAAATCTTCACAGCTATCCAAATATCCACTTGCAGATTCTACAAAAAGAGTCTATCAAAACTGCTCTGTCAAAAGGAAGGTTCTTCTCTGTTAGTTGAGTACATACGTCATAAAGGAGTTTCTGAGAATGTTTCTGTTAGTGGTTATGGGAAGATATTTGCTTTTTCACCGTAGGCCTCAGAGCGCTTCAAATATCCACTTGCACATACTACAAAAAGAGTGCCTCAAAGCTGCTCTCTGAAACGGAATGTTCAACTCTATGAGTTGAATGCAAACATCGCAAAGACGTTTCTGAGAATGCTTCTGTCTAGATTTGATATGAAGATATTCCCGTTTCCAAAGAAATCTTCAAATCTATCCAAATGTCCACTTGCAGATTCAACAAAAAGTGTTTTTCAGAACTGCTCTATCAAAAGAAAGATCCACCTCTGTTAGCTGAGTTCACACATCACAAACAAGTTTATGAGAATGCTTCTCTCTAGTTTTTATTTGAAGATATTTCCTTTCTCACCATAGAGCTGAAAGCTGTCCTAATGTTCACTTCCAGATACTACAGAAAGAGTGTTTGAAAACTGCTGTACGAAAGGGAATGTTCAACTCTGTGACTTGAATGCACACATCACAAAGAAGTTTCTGAGGATGCTGCTGTCTACTTTTTATACGTAATCCCGTTTCCAACGAAATCCTCCAAGCTATCCAAATATCCACTTGCAGATTCCACAGAAAGACTGTTTCAAAACTGCTCTGTCAATAGAAAAGTTCAACTCTGTTAGCTGTGTCCATATATCCCAAAGAAGATTCTGAGACTGCTTCTGTCTAGTTTTTATGGGAAGATATTTCCCTTTTCACCGTAGGCGTCGAGGCGCTCCAAATGTCCACTTCCAGATACTACAAAAAGAGTGTTTCAAACCTACTCTGTGAAAGGGAATATTCAACTCTGTGACTTGAATGCACATGTCACAAAGAAGTTTCTGAGAATGCTTCTGTCGAGATTTTATATGAAGATATTCCCGTTTCCAACGAAATCCTGAAATCTATCCAAATATCCCCTCGCAGATTCTACAAAAACAGTGTTTCAAAACTGCTCTGTAAAAAGAAAGGTTCAACTCTGTTAGTTGAGTACACACCTCACAAACAAGTTTCACAGAATGCTTCTTTCTAGCTTGTAGGGGAAGATATTCCCTTTATCACCATGGGCCTCCAACCGTCCGAAACATCCACTTCCATATACTACAAAAAGAGCGTTTCAAACCTGCTCTATGAAAGGCAATGTTCAACTCTGTGACTTGAATGCAGACATCACAGAGCAGTTTACTGAGAATGCTTCTGTCTAGATTTTATAGGAAGATATTCCCGTTTCCAACGAAATCTTCACAGCTATCCAAATATCCACTTGCAGATTCTACAAAAAGAGTGTATCAAAACTGCTCTGTCAGAAGGAAGGTTCTTCTCTGTTAGGTGAGTGCATACGTCATAAAGGAGTTTCTGAGAATGTTTCTGTTTAGTGGTTATGGGAAGATATTTGCTTTTTCACCTTAGGCCTCAGAGCGCTCCAAATATCCCCTTGCACATACTACAAAAAGAGTGCTTCAAAGCTGCTCTCTGAAACGGAATGTTCAACTCTATGAGTTGAATGCAAACATGACAAAGACGTTTCCGAGAATGCTTCTGTCTAGATTTGATATGAAGATATTCCCGTTTCCAACGAAATCTTCAAATCTATCCAAATGTCCACTTGCAGATTCAACAAAACGTGTTTTTCAGAACAGCTCTATCAAAAGAAAGATCCACGTCTCTTAGCTGAGTTCACACATCACAAACAAGTTTATGAGAATGCTTCTGTCTAGTTTTTATTTGAAGATATTTTGTTTCTCACCATAGAGCTGAAAGCTGTCCTAATGTTCACTTCCAGATACTACAGAAAGAGTGTTTCAAAACTGCTGTACGAAAGGGAATGTTCAACTCTGTGACTTGAATGCACACATCACAAAGAAGTTTCTGAGGATACTGCTGTCTACTTATTATACGTAATCCCGTTTCCAACGAAATCCTCCAAGCTATCCAAATATCCACTTGCAGATTCCACAGAAAGACTGTTTCAAAACTGCTCTGTCAATAGAAAGGTTCAACTCTGTTAGCTGCGTGCATATATCCCAAAGAAGATTCTGAGATTGCTTCTGTCTAGTTTTTATGGGAAGATATTTCCCTTTTCACCGTAGGTGTCAAGGCGCTCCAAATGTCCACTTCCAGATACTACAAAAAGAGTGTTTCAAACCTACTCTGTGAAAGGGAATATTCAACTCTGTGACTTGAATGCACATATCACAAAGTAGTTTCTGAGAATGCTTCTGTCGAGTATTTTATATGAAGATATTCCCGTTTCCAACGAAATGCTGAAATCTATCCAAATATCCCCTCGCAGATTCTACAAAAAGAGTGTTTCAAAACTGCTCTGTGAAAAGAAAGGTTCAACTCTGTTAGTTGAGTACACACATCACAAACAAGTTTCACAGAATGCTTCTTTCTAGCATGTAGGGGAAGATATTCCCTTTATCACCATGGGCCTCAAACCGTCCGATAAGTCCACTTCCATATACTACAAAAAGAGCGTTTCAAACCTGCTCTATGAAAGGCAATGTTCAACTCTGTGACTTGAATGCAGACATCACAGAGCAGTTTCTGGGAATGCTTCTGTCTAGATTTTATAGGAAGATATTCCCGTTTCCAACGAAATCTTCACAGCTATCCAAATATCCACTTGCAGATTCTACAAAAAGAGTGTATCGAAACTGCTCTGTCAAAAGGAAGGTTCTTTTCTGTTAGGTGAGTGCATACGTCATAAAGGAGTTTCTGAGAATGTTTCTGTTAGTGGTTATGGGAAGATATTTGCTTTTTCACCGTAGGCCTCAGAGCGCTCCAAATATCCACTTGCACATACTACAAAAAGAGTGCCTCAAAGCTGCTCTCTGAAACGGAATGTTCAACTCTATGAGTTGAATGCAAACATCGCAAAGACGTTTCTGAGAATGCTTCTGTCTAGATTTGATATGAAGATATTCCCGTTTCCAAGGAAATCTTCAAAACTATCCAAATGTCCACTTGCAGATTCAACAAAAAGTGTTTTTCAGAACTGCTCTATCAAAAGAAAGATCCACCGTTGTTAGCTGAGTTCACACATCACAAACAAGTTTATGAGAATGCTTCTGTCTAGTTTTCATATGAAGATATTTCCTTTCTCACCATAGACCTGAAAGCTGTCCTAATGTACACTTGCAGATACTACAGAAAGAGTGTTTCAAAACTGCTGTACGAAAGGGAATGTTCAACTCTGTGACTTGAATGCACACATCACAAAGAAGTTTCTGAGGATGCTGCTGTCTACTTTTTATACGTAATCCCGTTTCCAACGAAATCCTCCCAGCTATCCAAATATCCACTTGCAGATTCCACAGAAAGACTGTTTCAAAACTGCTCTGTCAATAGAAAGGTTCAACTCTGTTAGCTGCATGCATATATCCCAAAGAAGATTCTGAGATTGCTTCTGTCTAGTTTTTATGGGAAGATATTTCCCTTTTCACCGTAGGTGTCAAGGCGCTCCAAATGTCCACTTCCAGATACTATAAAAAGAGTGTTTCAAACCTACTCTGTGAAAGGGAATATTCAACTCTGTGACTTGAATGCACATATCACAAAGAAGTTTCTGAGAATGCTTCTGTCGAGATTTTCTATGAAGATATTCCCGTTTCCAACGAAATCCTGAAATCTATCCAAATATCCCCTCGCAGATTCTACAAAAAGATTGTTTCAAAACTGCTCTGTAAAAAGAAAGGTTGAACCCTGTTAGTTGAGTACACACATCACAAACAAGTTTCACAGAATGCTTCTTTCTAGCTTGTAGGGGAAGATATTCCCTTTATCACCATGGGCCTCAAAACGTCCGAAACGTCCACTTCCATATACTACAAAAAGAGCGTTTCAAACCTGCTCTAGGAAAACCAATGTTCAACTCTGTGACTTGAATGCAGACATCACAGAGCAGTTTCTGAGAATGCTTCTGTCTAGATTTTATAGGAAGATATTCCCGTTTCCAACGAAATCTTCATAGCTATCCAAATATCCACTTGCAGATTCTACAAAAAGAGTGTATCAAAACTGCTCTGTCAAAAGGAAGGTTCTTCTCTGTTAGTTGAGTACATACTTCATAAAGGAGTTTCTGAGAATGTTTCTGTCTAGTGGTTATGGGAAGATATTTGCTTTTTCACCGTAGGCCTCAGAGCGCTCCAAATATCCACTTGCACATACTACAAAAAGAGTGCTTCAAAGCTGCTCTCTGAAACGGAATGTTCAACTCTATGAGTTGAATGCAAACATCACAAAGACTGTTTCTGAGAATGCTTCTGTCTAGATTTGATATGAAGATATTCCCGTTTCCAACGAAATCTTCAAATCTATCCAAATGTCCACTTGCAGATTCAAAAAAAAGTGTTTTTCAGAACTGCTCTATCAAAAGAAAGATCCACCTCTGTTAGCTGAGTTCAGACATCACAAACAAGTTTATGAGAATGCTTCTGTCTAGTTTTTATTTGAAGGTATTTCCTTTCTCACCCTAGACCTGAAAGCTGTCCTAATGTTCACTTCCAGATACTACAGAAAGAGTGTTTCAAAACTGCTGTACGAAAGGGAATGTTCAACTCTGTGACTTGAATGCACACATCACAAAGAAGTTTCTGAGGATGCTGCTGTCTACTTTTTATGCGTAATCCCGTTTCCAACGAAATCCTCCAAGCTATCCAAATATCCACTTGCAGATTCCACAGAAAGACTGTTTCAAAACTGCTCTGTCAATAGTAAGGTTCAACTCTGTTAGCTGCGTGCATATATCCCAAAGAAGATTCTGAGATTGCTTCTGTCTAGTTTTTATGGGAAGATATTTTCCTTTTCACCATAGGCGTCACAGAGCTCCAAATGTCCACTTCCAGATACTACAAAAAGAGTGTTTCAAACCTACTATGTGAAAGGGAATATTCAACTCTGTTACTTGAATGCAGATATCACAAAGAAGTTTCTGAGAATGCTTCTGTCGAGATTTTATATGAAGATATTCCCGTTTCCAACGAAATCCTGAAATCTATCCAAATATCCCCTCGCAGATTCTACAAAAAGACTGTTTCAAAACTGCTCTGTAAAAAGAAAGGTTCAACTCTGTTAGTTGAGTACACACCTCACAAACAAGTTTCACAGAATGCTTCTTTCTAGCTTGTAGGGGAAGATATTCCCTTTATCACCATGGGCCTCAAACCGTCCGATAAGTCCACTTCCATATACTACAAAAAGAGGGTTTCAAACCTGCTCTATGAAAGGCAATGTTCAACTCTGTGACTTGAATGCAGACATCACAGAGCAGTTTCTGAGAATGCTTCTGTCGAGATTTTATATGAAGATATTCCCGTTTCCAACGAAATCTTCACAGCTATCCCAATATCCACTTGCAGATTCTACAAAAAGAGTGTATCAAAACTGCTCTGTCAAAAGGAAGGTTCTTCTCTGTTAGGTGAGTGCATACGTCATAAAGGAGTTTCTGAGAATGATTCTGTCTAGTGGTTATGGGAAGATATTTGCTTTTTCACCGTAGGCCTCAGAGCACTCCAAATATCCACTTGCACATACTACAAAAAGAGTGCCTCAAAGCTGCTCTCTGAAACGGAATGTTCAACTCTATGAGTTGAATGCAAACATCGCAAAGACGTTTCTGAGAATGCTTCTGTCTAGATTTGATATGACGATATTCCCGTTTCCAACGAAATCTTCAAATCTATCCAAATGTCCACTTGCAGATTCAACAAAACGTGTTTTTCAGAACTGCTCTATCAAAAGAAAGATCCACCTCTGTTAGCTGAGTTCACACATCACAAACAAGTTTATGACAATGCTTCTGTCTAGTTTTTATTTGAAGATATTTCCTTTCTCACCATAGACCTGAAAGCTGTCCTAATGTTCACTTCCAGATACTACAGAAAGAGTGTTTCAAAACTGCTGTACTAAAGGGAATGTTCAACTCTGTGACTTGAATGCACACATCACAAAAAAGTTTCTGAGGATGCTGCTGTCTACTTTTTATACGTAATCCCGTTTCCAACGAAATCCTCCAAGCTATCCAAATATCCACTTGCAGATTCCACAGAAAGACTGTTTCAAAACTGCTATGTCAATAGAAAAGTTCAACTCTGTTAGCTGTGTGCATATATCCCAAAGAAAATTCTGAGATTGCTTCTGTCTAGTTTTTATGGGAAGATATTTCCCTTTTCACCGTAGGCGTCAAGGCGCTCCAAATGTCCACTTCCAGATACTACAAAAAGAGTTTTTCAAACCTACTCTGTGAAAGGGAGTATTCAACTCTGTGACTTGAATACACATATCACAAAGAAGTTTCTGAGAATGCTTCTGTCGAGATTTTATATGAAGATATTCCCGTTTCCAACGAAATCCTCAAATCTATCCAAATATCCCCTCACAGATTCTACAAAAAGAGTGTTTCAAAACTGCTCTGTAAAAAGAAAGGTTCAACTCTGTTAGTTGAGTACACACATCACAAACAAGTTTCACAGAATGCTTCTTTCTAGCTTGCAGGGGAAGATATTCCCTTTATCACCATGGGCCTCAAACCGTCCGAAACGTCTACTTCCATATACTACAAAAAGAGCGTTTCAAACCTGCTCTACGAAAGGCAATGTTCAACTCTGTGACTTGAATGCAGACATCACAGATCAGTTTCTGAGAATGCTTCTGTCTAGATTTTATAGGAAGATATTCCCGTTTCCAACGAAATCTTCACAGCTATCCAAATATCCACTTGCAGATGCTACAAAAAGAGTGTATCAAAAATGCTCTGTCAAAAGGAAGGTTATTCTCTGTTAGGTGAGGGCATACGTCATAAAGGAGTTTCTGAGAATGTTTCTGTCTAGTGGTTATGGGAAGATATTTGCTTTTTCACCGTAGGCCTCAGAGCGCTCCAAATATCCACTTGCACATACTACAAAAAGAGTGCTTCAAAGCTGCTCTCTGAAACGGAATGTTCAACTCTATGAGTTGAATGCAAACATCGCAAAGACGTTTCTGAGAATGCTTCTGTCTAGATTTGATATGAAGATATTCCCGTTTCCAACGAAATCTTCAAATCTATCCAAATGTCCACTTGCAGATTCAACAAAAAGTGTTTTTCAGAACTGCTCTATCGAAAGATCCACCTCTGTTAGCTGAGTTCACACATCACAAACAAGTTTATGAGAATGCTTCTGTCTAGTTTTTATTTGAAGATATTTCCTTTCTCACCATAGGCCTGAAAGCTCTCGAAATGTTCACTTCCAGATACTACAGAAAGAGTGTTTCAAACCTGTTCTACAAAAGGGAATGTTCAACTCTGTGACTTGAATGCACACATCACAAAGAAGTTTCTGAGAATGCTGCTGTCTACTTTTTATACGTAATCCCGTTTCCAACGAAATCCTCCAAGCTATCCAAATATCCACTTGCAGATTCCACAGAAAGACTGTTTCAAAACTGCTCTGTCAGTAGAAAGGTTCAACTCTGTTAGCTGCGTGCATATATCCCAAAGAAGATTCTGAGATTGCTTCTGTCTAGTTTTTATGGGAAGATATTTCCCTTTTCACCGTAGGCGTCAAGGCGCTCCAAATGTCCACTTCCAGATACTACAAAAAGAGTGTTTCAAACCTACACTGCGAAAGGGAATATTCAACTCTGTGACTTGAATGCACATATCACAAAGAAGTTTCTGAGAATGCTTCTGTCGAGATTTTATATGAAGATATTCCCGTTTCCAACGAAATCCTGAAATCTATCCAAATATCCCCTCGCAGATTCTACAAAAAGAGTGTTTCAAAACTCCTCTGTAAAAAGAAAGGTTCAACTCTGTTAGTTGAGTACACACATCACAAACAAGTTTCACAGAATGCTTCTTTCTAGCTTGTAGGGGAAGATATTCCCTTTATCACCATGGGCCTCAAACTGTCCGAAACGTCCACTTACATATACTACAAAAAGAGCGTTTCAAACCTGCTCTATGAAAGGCAATGTTCAACTCTGTGACTTGAATGCAGACATCACAGAGCAGTTTCTGAGAATGCTTCTGTCTAGATTTTATAGGAAGATATTCCCGTTTCCAACGAAATCTTCACAGCTATCCAAATATCCACTTGCAGATTCTACAAAAAGAGTGTATCAAAAATGCTCTGTCAAAAGGAAGGTTCTTCTCGGTTAGGTGAGTGCATACGTCATAAAGGAGTTTCTCAGAATGTTTCTGTCTAGTGGTTATGGGAAGATATTTGCTTTTTCCCCATAGGCCTCAGGGCGCTCCAAATGTCCACATGCACATGCTACAAAAAGAGTGCTTCAAAGCTGCTCTCTCAAAGGGAATGTTCAACTCTATGAGTTGAATGCAAACATCACAAAGACGTTTCTGAGAATGCTTCTGTCTAGATTTCATATGAAGATATTCCCGTTTCCAACGAAATCTTCAAATCTATCCAAATGTCCACTTGCAGATTCAACAAAAAGTGTTTTTCAAAACTGCTGTATCAAAAGAAAGATCCACGTCTGTTAGCTGAGTTCAGACATCACAAACAAGTTTATGAGAATGCTTCTGTCTAGTTTTTATTTGAAGATATTTCCTTTCTCACCATAGACCTGAAAGCTGTCCTAATGTTCACTTCCAGATACTACAGAAAGAATGTTTCAAAACTGCTGTACGAAAGGGAATGTTCAACTCTGTGACTTGAATGCACACATCACAAAGAAGTTTCTGAGGATGCTGCTGTCTACTTTTTATACATAATCCCTTTTCCAACGAAATCCTCCAAGCTATCCAAATATCCACTTGCAGATTCCACAGAAAGACTGTTTCAAAACTGCTCTGTCAATAGAAAGGTTCAACTCTGTTAGCTGCGTGCATATATCCCAAAGAAGATTCGGAGATTGCTTCTGTCTAGTTTTTATGGGAAGATATTTCCCTTTTCACCGTAGGCGTCAAGGCGCTCCAAATGTCCACTTCCAGATACTGCAAAAAGAGTGTTTCAAACCTACTCTGTGAAAGGGAATATTCAACTCTGTGACTGGAATGCAGATATCACAAAGAAGTTTCTGAGAATGCTTCTGTCGAGATTTTATATGAAGATATTCCCGTTTCCAACGAAATCCTGAAATCTATCCAAATATCCCCTCGCAGATTCTACAAAAAGAGTGTTTCAAAACTGCTCTGTGAAAAGAAAGGTACAACTCTGTTAGTTGAGTACACACATCACAAACAAGTTTCACAGAATGCTTCTTTCTAGCTTGTAGGGGAAGATATTCCCTTTATCACCATGGTCCTCAAACCGTCCGAAACGTCCACTGCCATATATTACAAAAAGAGCGTTTCAAACCTGCTCTATGAAAGGCAATGTTCAACTCTGTGACTTGAATGCAGACATCACAGAGCAGTTTCTGAGAATGCTTCTGTCTAGATTTTATAGGAAGATATTCCCATTTCCAACGAAATCTTCACAGCTATCCAAATATCCACTTGCAGATTCTACAAAAAGAGTGTATCAAAACTGCTCTGTCAAAAGGAAGGTTCTTCTCTGTTAGGTGAGTGCATACGTCATAAAGGAGTTTCTGAGAATGTTTCTGTCTAGTGGTTATGGGAAGATATTTGCTTTTTCCCCGTATGCCTCAAAGCGCTCCAAATGTCCACTTGAACATACTACAAAAAGAGTGCTTCAAAGCTGCTCTCTGAAAGGGAATGTTCAACTCTATGAGTTGAATGCAAACATCACAAAGACGTTTCTGAGAATGCTTCTGTCTAGATTTGATATGAAGATATTCCCGTTTCCAACGAAATCTTCAAATCTATCCAAATGTCCACTTGCAGATTCAACAAAGTGTTTTTCAAAACTGCTGTATCAAAAGAAAGATCCACCTGTGTTAGCTGAGTTCACACTTCACAAACAAGTTTATCAGAATTCTTCTGTCTAGTTTTTATTTGAAGATATATCCTTTCTCACTATAGACCTGAAAGCTCTCCTAAAGTTCACTTCCAGATACTACAGAAAGAGTTTTTCAAAACTGCTGTACGAAAGGGAATGTTCAACTCTGTGACTTGAATGCACACGTCACAAGGAAGATTCTGAGGATGCTGCTGTCTACTTTTTATACGTAATCCCGTTTCCAACGAAATCCTCCAATCTATCCAAATATCCACTTGCAGATTCCACAGAAAGACTGTTTCAAAACTGCTCTGTCAATAGAAAGGTTAAACTCTGTTAGCTGCGTGCATATATCACAAAGAAGATTCTGAGATTGCTTCTGTCTAGTTTTTATGGGAAGATATTTCCCTTTTCACCATAGGCGTCAAGGCGCTCCAAATGTCCACTTCCAGATACTAAAAAAAGAGTGTTTCAAACCTACTCTGTGAAAGGGAATATTCAACTCTGTGACTTGAATGCACATATCACAAAGAAGTTTCTGCTAATGCTTCTGTCGAGTATTTTATATGAAGATATTCCCGTTTCCAACGAAATCCTGAAATCTATCCAAATATCCCCTCGCAGATTCTACAAAAAGAGTGTTTCAAAACTGCTCTGTAAAAAGAAAGGTTCAACTCTATTAGTTGAGTACACACATCACAAACAAGTTTCACAGAATGCTTCTTTCTAGCTTGTAGGGGAAGATATTCCCTTTATCACCGTGGGCCTCCAACCGTCCGAAACGTCCACTTCCATATACTACAAAAAGAGCGTTTCAAACCTGCTCTATGAAAGGCAATGTTCAACTTCTGTGACTTGAATGCAGACATCACAGAGCAGTTTCTGAGAATGCTTCTGTCTAGATTTTATAGGAAGATATTCCCGTTTCCAACGAAATCTTCACAGCTATCCAAATATCCACTTGCAGATTCTACAAAAAGAGTGTATCAAAACTGCTCTGTCAAAAGGAAGGTTCTTCTCTGTTAGGTGAGTGCATACGTTTAAAGGAGTTTCTGAGAATGTTTCTGTCTAGTGGTTATGGGAAGATATTTGCTTTTTCACCTTAGGCCTCAGAGCGCTCCAAATATCCACTTGCACATACTACAAAAAGAGTGTTTCAAAGCTGCTCTCTGAAAGGGAATGTTCAACTCTATGAGTTGAATGCAAACATGACAAAGACGTTTCTGAGAATGCTTTCTGTCTAGATTTGATATGAAGATATTCCCATTTCCAACGAAATCTTCAAATCTATTCAAATGTCCACTTGCAGATTCAACAAAAAGTGTTTTTCGAAACTGCTGTTTCGAAAGAAAGATCCACCTCTGTTAGCTGAGTTCACACTTCACAAACAAGTTTATCAGAATACTTCTGTCTAGTTTTTATTTGAAGATATATCCTTTCTCACCATAGACCTGAAAGCTCTCCTAATGCTCACTTCCAGATACTACAGAAAGAGTGTTTCAAAACTGCTGTACGAAAGGGAATGTTCAACTCTGTGACTTGAATGCACACATCACAAAGAAGTTTCTGAGGATGCTGCTGTCTACTTTTTATACGTAATCCCGTTTCCAACGAAATCCTCTAATCTATCCAAATATCCACTTGCAGATTCCACAGAAAGACTGTTTCAAAACTGCTCTGTCAATAGAAAGGTTCAACTCTGTTAGCTGCGTGCATATATCCCAAAGAAGATTCTGAGATTGCTTCTGTCTAGTTTTTATGGGAAGATATTTCCCTTTTCACCGTAGGCGTCAAGGTGCTCCAAATGTCCCCTTCCAGATACTACAAAAAGAGTGTTTCAAACCTACTCTGTGAAAGGGAATATTCAACTCTGTGACTTGAATATACATATCACAAAGACGTTTCTGAGAATGCTTCTGTCGAGATTTTATATGAAGATATTCCCGTTTCCAACGAAATCCTGAAATCTATCCAAATATCCCCTCGCAGATTCTACAAAAAGAGTGTTTCAAAACTGCTCTGTGAAAAGAAAGGTTCAACTCTGTTAGTTGAGTACACACATAACAAACAAGTTTCACAGAATGCTTCTTTCTAGCTTGTAGGGGAAGATATTCCCTTTATCACCATGGGCCTCAAACCGTCCGAAACGTCCACTTCCATATACTACAAAAAGAGTGTTTCAAACCTGCTCTATGAAAGGCAATGTTCAACTCTGTGAGTTGAATGCAGACATCACAGAGCAGTTTCTGAGAATGCTTCTGTCTAGATTTTATAGGAAGATATTCCCGTTTCCAACGAAATCTTCACAGCTATCCAAATATCCACTTGCAGATTCTACAAAAAGAGTGTATCAAAACTGCACTGTCAAAAGGAAGGTTCTTCTCTGTTAGGTGAGTGCATACGTCATAAAGGAGTTTCTGAGAATGTTTCTGTCTAGTGGTTATGGGAAGATATTTGCTTTTTCACCGTAGGCCTCAGAGCACTCCAAATATCCCCTTGCACATACTACAAAAAGAGTGCTTCAAAGCTGCTCTCTGAAAGGGAATGTTCAACTCTATGAGTTGAATGCAAACATCACAAAGACGTTTCTGGGAATGCTTCTGTCTAGATTTGATATGAAGATATTCCCGTTTCCAACGAAATCTTCAAATCTATCCAAATGTCCACTTGCAGATTCAACAAAAAGTGTTTTTCAGAACTGCTCTATCAAAAGAAAGATCCACCTGTTAGCTGAGTTCAGACATCACAAACAAGTTTATGAGAATGCTTCTGTCTAGTTTTTATTTGAAGATATTTCCTTTCTCACCATAGACCTGAAAGCTGTCATAATGTTCACTTCCAGATACTACAGAAAGAGTGTTTCAAAACTGCTGTACGAAAGGGAATGTTCAACTCTGTGACTTGAATGCACACATCACAAAGAAGTTTCTGAGGATGCTGCTGTCTACTTTTTATACGTAATCCCGTTTCCAACGAAATCCTCCAAGCTATCCAAATATCCACTTGCAGATTCCACAGAAAGACTGTTTCAAAACTGCTCTGTCAATAGAAAGGTTCAACTCTGTTAGCTGCGTGCATATATACCAAAGAAGATTCTGAGATTGCTTCTGTCTACTTTTTATGAGAAGATATTTCCCTTTTCACCGTAGGCGTCAAGGCGCTCCAAATGTCCACTTCCAGATACTACAAAAAGAGTGTTTCAAACCTACTCTGTGAAAGGGAATATTCAACTCTGTGACTTGAATGCACATATCACAAAGAAGTTTCAGAGAATGCTTCTGTCGAGATTTTATATGAAGATATTCCCGTTTCCAACGAAATCCTGAAATCTATCCAAATATCCCCTCGCAGATTCTACGAAAAGAGTGTTTCAAAACTGCTCTGTAAAAAGAAAGGTTCAACTCTGTTAGTTGAGTACACACATCACAAACAAGTTTCACAGAATGCTTCTGTCTAGTTTTTATGGGAAGATATTTCCCTTTTCACCGTAGGCGTCAAGGCGCTCCAAATGTCCACTTCCAGATACTACAAAAAGAGTGTTTCAAACCTACTCTGTGAAAGGGAATATTCAACTCTGTGACTTGAATGCAGACATCACAGAGCAGTTTCTGAGAATGCTTCTGTCTAGATTTTATAGGAAGATATTCCCGTTTCCAACGAAATCTTCACAGCTATCCAAATATGCACTTGCAGATTCTACAAAAAGAGTGTATCAAAACTGCTCAGTCAAAAAGAAGGTTCTTCTCTGTTAGTTGAGTACATACGTCATAAAGGAGTTTCTGAGAATGTTTCTGTCTAGTGGTTATGGGAAGATATTTGCTTTTTCACCGTAGGCCTCAGAGTTCTCCAAATATCCACTTGCACATACTACAAAAAGAGTGCTTCAAAGCTGCTCTCTGAAAGGGAATGTTCAACTCTATGAGTTGAATGCAAACATCACAAAGACGTTTCTGAGAATGCTTCTGTCTAGATTTGATATGAAGATATTCCCGTTTCCAACGAAATCTTCAAATCTATCCAAATGTCCACTTGCAGATTCAACAAAGTGTTTTTCAGAACTGCTCTATCAAAAGAAAGATCCACCTCTGTTAGCTGAGTTCACACTTCACAAACAAGTTTATCAGAATGCTTCTGTCTAGTTTTTATTTGAAGATATTTCCTTTCTCACCATAGACCTGAAAGCTGTCCTAATGTTCACTTCCAGATACTACAGAAAGAGTGTTTCAACACTGCTGTACGAAAGGGAATGTTCAACTCTGTGACTTGAATGCACACATCACAAAGAAGTTTCTGAGGATGCTGCTGTCTACTTTTTATACGTAATCCCGTTTCCAACGAAATCCTCCAAGCTATCCAAATATCCACTTGCAGATTCCACAGAAAGACTGTTTCAAAACTGCTCTGTCAATAGAAAGGTTCAACTCTGTTAGCTGGGTGCATATATCACAAAGAAGATTCTGAGATTGCTTCTGTCTAGTTTTTATGGGAAGATATTTCCCTTTTCACCGTAGGCGTCAAGGCGCTCCAAATGTCCACTTCCAGATACTACAAAAGGAGTGTTTCAAACCTACTCTGTGAAAGGGAATATTCAACTCTGTGACTTGAATGCACATATCACAAAGAAGTTTCTGAGAATGCTTCTGTCGAGATTTTATATGAAGATATTCCCGTTTCCAACGAAATCCTGAAATCTATCCAAATATCCCCTCGCAGATTCTACAGAAAGAGTGTTTCAAAACTGCTCTGTAAAAAGAAAGGTTGAACTCTGTTAGTTGAGTACACACATCACAAACAAGTTTCACAGAATGCTTCTTTCTAGCTTGTAGGGTAAGATATTCCCTTTATCACCATGGGCCTCAAACCGTCCGAAACGTCCACTTCCATATACTACAAAAAGAGCGTTTCAAACCTGCTCTAGGAAAGGCAATGTTCAACTCTGTGACTTGAATGCAGACATCACAGAGCAGTTTCTGAGAATGCTTCTGTCTAGATTTTATAGGAAGATATTCCCGTTTCCAACGAAATCTTCACAGCTATCCAAATATCCACTTGCAGATTCTACAAAAAGAGTGTATCAAAACTGCTCTGTCAAAAGGAAGGTTCTTCTCTGTTGGGTGAGTGCATACGTGATAAAGGAGTTTCTGAGAATGTTTCTGTCTAGTGGTTATGGGAAGATATTTGCTTTTTCACCGTAGGCCTCAGAGCGCTCCAAATATCCACTTGCACATACTACAAAAAGAGTGCTTCAAAGCTGCTCTCTGAAACGGAATGTTCAACTGTATGAGTTGAATGCAAACATCCCAAAGACGTTTCTGAGAATGCTTCTGTCTAGATTTGATATGAAGATATTCCCGTTTCCAACGAAATCTTCAAATCTATCCAAATGTCCACTTGCAGATTCATCAAAAAGTGTTTTTCAAAACTGCTGTATCAAAAGAAAGATCCACGTCTGTTAGCTGAGTTCACACATCACAAACAAGTTTATGAGAATGCTTCTGTCTAGTTTTTATTTGAAGATATTTCCTTTCTCACCATAGACCTGAAAGCTGTCCTAATGTTCACTTCCAGATACTACAGAAAGAGTGTTTCAAAACTGCTGTACGAAAGGGAATGTTCAACTCTGTGACTTGAATGCACACATCACAAAGAAGTTTCTGAGGAGGCTGCTGTCTACTTTTTATACGTAATCCCGTTTCCAACGAAATCGTCCAAGCTATCCAAATATCCACTTGCAGATTCCACAGAAAGACTGTTTCAAAACTGCTCTGTCAATAGAAAGGTTCAACTCTGTTAGCTGCGTGCATATATCCCAAAGAAGATTCTGAGATTGCTGCTGTCTACTTTTTATGAGAAGATATTTCCCTTTTCAACGTAGGCGTCAAGGCGCTCCAAATGTCCACTTCCAGATACTACAAAAAGAGTGTTTCAAACCTACTCTGTGAAAGGGAATATTCAACTCTGTGACTTGAATGCACATATCACAAAGAAGCTTCTGAGAATGCTTCTGTCGGGATTTTATATGAAGATATTCCCGTTTCCAACGAAATCCTGAAATGTATCCAAATATCCCCTCGCAGATTCTACAAAAAGAGTGTTTCAAAACTGCTCTGTAAAAAGAAAGGTTCAACTCTGTTAGTTGAGTACACACATCACAAACAAGTTTCACAGAATGCTTCTTTCTAGCTTGTAGGGGAAGATATTCCCTTTATCACCATGGGCCTCAAACCGTCCGAAACGTCCACTTCCATATACTACAAAAAGAGCATTTCAACCCTGCTCTAGGAAAGGCAATGTTCAACTCTGTGACTTGAATGCAGACATCACAGAGCAGTTTCTGAGAATGCTTCTGTCTAGATTTTATAGGAAGATATTCCCGTTTCCAACGAAATCTTCACAGCTATCCAAATATCCACTTGCAGATTCTACAAAAAGAGTGTATCAAAACTGCTCTGTGAAAAGGAAGGTTCTTTTCTGTTAGGTGAGTGCATACGTCACAAAGGAGTTTCTGAGAATGTTTCTGTCTAGTGGTTATGGGAAGATATTTGCTTTTTCACCGTAGGCCTCAGAGGGCTCCAAATATCCACTTGCACATACTACAAAAAGAGTGCCTCAAAGCTGCTCTCTGAAACGGAATGTTCAACTCTATGAGTTGAATGCAAACATCGCAAAGACGTTTCTGAGAATGCTTCTGTCTAGATTTGATATGAAGATATTCCCGTTTCCAACGAAATCTTCTAATCTATCCAAATGTCCACTTGCAGATTCAACAAAAAGTGTTTTTCAGAACTGCTCTATCAAAAGAAAGATCCACCTCTGTTAGCTGAGTTCACACATCACAAACAAGTTTATGAGAATGCTTCTGTCTAGTTTTTATTTGAAGATATTTCCTTTCTCACCATAGACCTGAAAGCTGTCCTAATGTTCACTTCCAGATACTACAGAAAGAGTGTTTCAAAACTGTTGTACGAAAGGGAATGTTCAACTCTGTGACTTGAATGCACACATCACAAAGAAGTTTCTGAGGATGCTGCTGTCTACTTTTTATACGTAATCCCGTTTCCAACGAAATCCTCCAAGCTATCCAAATATCCACTTGCATATTCCACAGAAAGACTGTTTCAGAACTGCTCTGTCAGTAGAAAGGTTCAACTCTGTTAGCTGCGTGCATATATCCCAAAGAAGATTCTGAGATTGCTTCTGTCTAGTTTTTATGGGAAGATATTTGCCTTTTCACCGTAGGTGTCAAGGCGCTCCAAATGTCCACTTCCAGATACTACAAAAAGAGTGTTTCAAACCTACTCTGTGAAAGGGAATATTCAACTCTGTGACTTGAATGCAGATATCACAAAGAAGTTTCTGAGAATGCTTCTGTCGAGATTTTATATGAAGATATTCCCGTTTCCAACGAAATGCTGAAATGTATCCAAATATCCCCTCGCAGATTCTACAAAAAGAGTGTTTCAAAACTGCTCTGTAAAAAGAAAGGTTCAACTCTGTTAGTTGAGTACACACATCACAAACAAGTTTCACAGAATGCTTTCTTTCTAGCTTGTAGGGGAAGATATTCCCTTTATCACCATGGGCCTCAAACCGTCCGAAACGTCCACTTCCATATACTACAAAAAGAGCGTTTCAAACCTGCTCTATGAAAGGCAATGTTCAACTCTGTGAGTTGAATGCAGACATCACAGAGCAGTTTCTGAGAATGCTTCTGTCGAGATTTTATAGGAAGATATTCCCGTTTCCAACGAAATCTTCACAGCTATCCAAATATCCACTTGCAGATTCTACAAAAAGAGTGTATCAAAACTGCTCTGTCAAAAGGAAGGTTCTTTTCTGTTAGGTGAGTGCATACGTCATAAAGGAGTTTCTGAGAATGTTTCTGTCTAGTGGTTATGGGAAGATATTTGCTTTTTCCCCGTAGACCTCAGAGCGCTCCAAATGTCCACTTGCACATGCTACAAAAAGAGTGCTTCAAAGCTGCTCTCTGAAAGGGAATGTTCAACTCTATGAGTTGAATGTAAACATCACAAAGACGTTTCTGAGAATGCTTCTGTCTAGATTTGATATGAAGATATTCCCGTTTCCAACGAAATCTTCAAATCTATCCAAATGTCCACTTGCAGATTCAACAAAAAGTGTTTTTCAAAACTGCTGTATCAAAAGAAAGATCCACGTCTGTTAGCTGAGTTCACACATCACAAACAAGTTTAGGAGAATGCTTCTGTCTAGTTTTTATTTGAAGATATTTCCTTTCTCACTATAGACCTGAAAGCTCTCCTAAAGTTCACTTCCAGATACTACAGAAAGAGTGTTTCAAAACTGCTGTACGAAAGGGAATGTTCAATTCTGTGACTTGAATGCACACATCACAAAGAAGTTTCTGAGGATGCTGCTGTGTACTTTTTATACGTAATCCCGTTTCCAACGAAATCCTCCAAGCTATCCAAATATCCACTTGCAGATTCCACAGAAAGACTGTTTCAAAACTGCTCTGTCAATAGAAAGGTTCAACTCTGTTAGCTGCGTGCATATATCCCAAAGAAGATTCTGAGATTGCTTGTGTCTACTTTTTATGAGAAGATATTTCCCTTTTCACCGTAGGCGTCAAGGCGCTCCAAATGTCCACTTCCAGATACTACAAAAAGAGTGTTTCAAACCTACTCTGTGAAAGGGAATATTCAACTCTGTGACTTGAATGCACATATCACAAAGAAGCTTCTGAGAATGCTTCTGTCGAGATTTTCTATGAAGATATTCCCGTTTCCAACGAAATCCTGAAATCTATCCAAATATCCCCTCGCAGATTCTACAAAAAGAGTGTTTCAAAACTGCTCTGTAAAAAGAAAGGTTCAACTCTATTAGTTGAGTACACACATCACAAACAAGTTTCACAGAATGCTTTCTTTCTAGCTTGTAGGGGAAGATATTCCCTTTATCACCATGGGCCTCAAACCGTCCGAAACGTCCACTTCCATATACTACAAAAAGAGCGTTTCAAACCTGCTCTAGGAAAGGCAATGTTCAACTCTGTGACTTGAATGCAGACATCACAGAGCAGTTTCTGAGAATGCTTCTGTCTAGATTTTATAGGAATGTATTCCCGTTTCCAACGAAATCTTCACAGCTATCCAAATATCCACTTGCAGATTCTACAAAAAGAGTGTATCAAAACTGCTCTGTCAAAAGGAAGGTTCTTCTCTGTTAGTTGAGTACATACGTCATAAAGGAGTTTCTGAGAATGTTTCTGTCTAGTGGTTATGGGAAGATATTTGCTTTTTCACCGTAGGCCTCAGAGCGCTCCAAATATCCACTTGCACATAGTACAAAAAGAGTGCCTCAAAGCTGCTCTCTGAAACGGAATGTTCAACTCTATGAGTTGAATGCAAACATCACAAAGACGTTTCTGAGAATGCTTCCGTCTAGATTTGATATGAAGATATTCCCGTTTCCAACGAAATCTTGAAATCTATCCAAATGTCCACTTGCAGATTCAACAAAAAGTGTTTTTCAGAACTGCTCTATCAAAAGAAAGATCCACCTCTGTTAGCTGAGTTCACACATCACAAACAAGTTTATGAGAATGCTTCTGTCTAGTTTTTATTTGAAGATATTTCCTTTCTCACCATAGACCTGAAAGCTGTCGTAATGTTCACTTCCAGATACTACAGAAAGAGTGTTTCAAAACTGCTGTACGAAAGGGAATGTTCAACTCTGTGACTTGAATGCACACATCACAAAGAAGTTTCTGAGGATGCTGCTGTCTACTTTTTATACGTAATCCCGTTTCCAACGAAATCCTCCAAGCTATCCAAATATCCACTTGCAGATTCCACAGAAAGACTGTTTCAAAACTGCTCTGTCAATAGAAAGGTTCAACTCTGTTACCTGCGTGCATATATCCCAAAGAAGATTCTGAGATTGCTTCTGTCTAGTTTTATGGGAAGATATTTCCCTTTTCACCGTAGGTGTCAAGGCGCTCCAAATGTCCACTTCCAGATACTACAAAAAGAGTGTTTCAAACCTACTCTGTGAAAGGGAATATTCAACTCTGTGACTTGAATGCACATATCACAAAGAAGTTTCTGAGAATGCTTCTGTCGAGATTTTATATGAAGATATTCCCGTTTCAAACGAAATCATGAAATCTATCCAAATATCCCCTCGCAGATTCTACAAAAAGAGTGTTTCAAAACTGCTCTGTAAAAAGAAAGGTTCAACTCTGTTAGTTGAGTACACACATCACAAACAAGTTTCACAGAATGCTTCTTTCTAGCTTGTAGGGGAAGATATTCCCTTTATCACCATGGGCCTCAAACCGTCCGAAACGTCCACTTACATATACTACAAAAAGAGCGTTTCAAACCTGCTCTATGAAAGGCAATGTTCAGCTCTGTGACTTGAATGCAGACATCACAGAGCAGTTTCTGAGAATGCTTCTGTCTAGATTTTATAGGAAGATATTCCCGTTTCCAACGAAATCTTCACAGCTATCCAAATATCCACTTGTAGATTCTACAAAAAGAGTGTATCAAAACTGCTCTGTCAAAAGGAAGGTTCTTCTCTGTTAGGTGAGTGCATACGTCATAAAGGAGTTTCTGAGAATGTTTCTGTGTAGTGGTTATGGGAAGATATTTGCTTTTTCACCGTAGGCCTCAGAGCGCTCCAAATATCCACTTGCACATACTACAAAAAGAGTGCTTCAAAGCTGCTCTCTGAAAGGGAATGTTCAACTCTATGAGTTGAATGCAAACATCACAAAGACGTTTCCAAGAATGCTTCTGTCTAGATTTGATATGAAGATATTCCCGTTTCCACCGAAATCTTCAAATCTATCCAAATGTCCACTTGCAGATTCAACAAAAAGTGTTTTTCAGAACTGCTCTATCAAAAGAAAGATCCACCTCTGTTAGCTGAGTTCACACATCACAAACAAGTTTATGAGAATGCTTCTGTCTAGTTTTTATTTGAAGATATTTCCTTTCTCACCATAGACCTGAAAGCTGTCCTAATGTTCACTTCCAGTTACTACAGAAAGAGTGTTTCAAAACTGCTGTACGAAAGGGAATGTTCAACTCTGTGACTTGAATGCACACATCACAAAGAAGGTTCCTGAGGATGCTGCTGTCTACTTTTTATACGTAATCCCGTTTCCAACGAAATCCTCCAAGCTATCCAAATATCCATTTGCAGATTCCACAGAAAGACTGTTTCAAAACTGCTCTGTCAATAGAAAGGTTCAACTCTGTTAGCTGCGTGCATATATCCCAAAGAAGATTCTGAGATTGCTTCTGTCTAGTTTTTATGGGAAGATATTTCCCTTTTCACCGTAGGCGTCAAGGCGCTCCAAATGTCCACTTCCAGATAGTACAAAAAGAGTGTTTCAAACCTACTCTGTGAAAGGGAATATTCATCTCTGTGACTTGAATGCACATATCACAAAGAAGTTTCTGAGAATGCTTCTGTCGAGATTTCTATATGAAGATATTCCCGTTTCCAACGAAATCCTGAAATCTATCCAAATATCCCCTCGCAGATTCTACAAAAAGAGTGTTTCAAAACTGCTCTGTAAAAAGGAAGGTTCAACTCTGTTAGTTGAGTACACACATCACAAACAAGTTTCACAGAATGCTTCTTTCTAGCTTGTAGGGGAAGATACTCCCTTTATCACCATGGGCCTCAAACCGTCCGAAAAGTCCACTTCCATATATTACAAAAAGAGCGTTTCAAACCTGCTCTATGAAAGGCAATGTTCAACTCTGTGACTTGAATGCAGACATCACAGAGCAGTTTCTGAGAATGCTTCTGTCTAGATTTTATAGGAAGGTATTCCCGTTTCCAACGAAATCTTCACAGCTATCCAAATATCCACTTGCAGATTCTACAAAAAGAGTGTATCAAAACTGCTCTGTCAAAAGGAAGGTTCTTCTCTGTTAGTTGAGTACATACGTCATAAAGGAGTTTCTGAGAATGTTTCTGTCTCGTGGTTATGGGAAGATATTTGCTTTTTCACCGTAGGCCTCAGAGCGCTCCAAATATCCACTTGCACATACTACAAAAAGAGTGTTTCAAAGCTGCTCTCTGAAAGGGAATGTTCAACTCTATGAGTTGAATGCAAACATGACAAAGACGTTTCTGAGAATGCTTCTGTCTAGATTTGATATGAAGATATTCCCGTTTCCAACGAAATCTTCAAATCTATCCTAATGTCCACTTGCAGATTCAACAAAAAGTGTTTTTCAGAACTGCTCTATCAAAAGAAAGATCCACCTCTGTTAGCTGAGTTCACACATCACAAACAAGTTTATGAGAATGCTTCTGTCTAGTTTTTATTTGAAGATATTTCCTTTCTCACCATAGACCTGAAAGCTGTCCTAATGTTCACTTCCAGATGCTACAGAAAGAGTGTGTCAAAACTGCTGTACGAAAGGGAATGTTCAACTCTGTGACTTGAATGCACACATCACAAAGAAGTTTCTGAGGATGCTGCTGTCTACTTTTTATACGTAATCCCGTTTCCAACGAAATCCTCCAAGCTATCCAAATATCCACTTGCAGATTCCACAGAACGACTGTTTCAAAACTGCTCTGTCAATAGAAATGTTCAACTCCGTTAGCTGCGTGCATATATCCCAAAGAAGATTCTGAGATTGCTTCTGTCTAGTTTTTATGGGAAGATATTTCCCTTTTCACCGTAGGTGTCAAGGCGCTCCAAATGTCCACTTCCAGATACTACAGAAAGAGTGTTTCAAACCTACTCTGTGAAAGGGAATATTCAACTCTGTGACTTGAAAGCAGATATCACAAAGAAGTTTCTGAGAATGCTTCTGTCGAGATTTTATATGAAGATATTCCCGTTTCCAATGAAATCCTGAAATCTATCCAAATATCCCCTCGCAGATTCTACAAAAAGAGTGTTTCAAAACTGCTCTGTAAAAAGAAAGGTTCAACTCTGTTAGTTGAGTACACACATCACAAACAACTTTCACAGAATGCTTCTTTCTAGCTTGTAGGGGAAGATATTCCCTTTATCACCATGGGCCTCAAACCGTCCGAAACGTCCACTTCCATATACTACAAAAAGAGCGTTTCAAACCTGCTCTATGAAAGGCAATGTTCAACTCTGTGACTTGAATGCAGACATCACAGAGCTGTTTCTGAGAATGCTTCTGTCTAGATTTTATAGGAAGATATTCCCGTTTCCAACGAAATCTTCACAGCTATCCCAATATCCACTTGCAGATTCTACAAAAAGAGTGTATCAAAACTGCTCTGTCGAAAGGAAGGTTCTCCTCTGTTAGGTGAGTGCATACGTCATAAAGGAGTTTCTGAGAATGTTTCTGTCTAGTGGTTATGGGAAGATATTTGCTTTTTCACCGTAGGCCTCAGAGCGCTCCAAATATCCACTTGCACATACTACAAAAAGAGTGCTTCAAAGCTGCTCTCTGAAAGGGAATGTTCAACTCTATGAGTTGAATGGAAACATCACAAAGACGTTTCTGAGAATGCTTCTGTCTAGATTTGATATGAAGATATTCCCGTTTCCAACGAAATCTTCAAATCTATCCAAATGTCCACTTGCAGATTCAACAAAAAGTGTTTTTCAAAACTGCTGTATCAAAAGAAAGATCCACGTCTGTTACCTGAGTTCACACATCACAAACAAGTTTATGAGAATGCTTCTGTCTAGTTTTTATTTGAAGATATATCCTTTCTCACTATAGACCTGAAAGCTGTCCTAAAGTTCACTTCCAGATACTACAGAAAGAGTGTTTGAAAACTGCTGTACGAAAGGGAATGTTCAACTCTGTGACTTGAATGCACACATCACAAGGATGTTTCTGAGGATGCTGCTGTCTACTTTTTATACGTAATCCCGTTTCCAACGTAATCCTCCAAGCTATCCAAATATCCACTTGCAGATTCCACAGAAAGACTGTTACAAAACTGCTCTGTCAATAGAAAGGTTCAACTCTGTTAGCTGCGTGCATATATCCCAAAGAAGATTCTGAGATTGCTTCTGTCTACTTTTTATGAGAAGATATTACCCTTTTCACCGTAGGCGTCAAGGCGCTCCAAATGTCCACTTCCAGATACTACAAAAAGAGTGTTTCAAACCTACTCTGTGAAAGGGAATATTGAACTCTGTGACTTGAATGCACATATCACAAAGAAGCTTCTGAGAATGCTTCTGTCGAGATTTTATATGAAGACATTCCCGTTTCCAACGAAATCCTGAAATCTATCCAAATATCCCCTCGCAGATTCTACAAAAAGAGTGTTTCAAAACTGCTCTGTAAAAAGAAAGGTTCAACTCTGTTAGTTGAGTACACACATCACAAACAAGTTTCACAGAATGCTTCTTTCTAGCTTGTATGGGAAGATATTCCCTTTATCACCATGGGCCTCAAACCGTCCGAAACGTCCACTTCCATATACTACAAAAAGAGTGTTTCAAACCTGCTCTATGAACGGCAATGTTCAACTCTGTGACTTGAATGCAGACATCACAGAGCAGTTTCTGAGAATGCTTCTGTCCAGACTTTATAGGAAGATATTCCCGTTTCCAACGAAATCTTCACAGCTATCCAAATATCCACTTGCAGATAGTACAAAAAGAGTGTATCAGAAATGCTCTGTCAAAAGGAAAGTTCTTCTCTGCTAGTTGAGTACATACGTCATAAAGAAGTTTCTGAGAATGTTCCTGTCTAGTGGTTATGGGAAGATATTTGCTTTTTCCCCGTAGGCCTCAAAGCGGTCCAAATGTCCACTTGCACATACTACAAAAAGAGTGCTTCAAAGCTCCTCTCAGAAAGGGAATGTTCAACTCTATGAGTTGAATGCAAACATCACAAAGGCGTTTCTGAGAATGCTTCTGTCTAGATTTGATATGAAGATATTCCCGTTTCCAACGAAATCTTCAAATCTATCCAAATGTCCACTTGCAGATTCAACAAAAAGTGTTTTTCAGAACTGCTCTATCAAAAGAAAGATCCACGTCTGTTAGCTGAGTACACACATCACAAACAAGTTTATGAGAATGCTTCTGTCTAGTTTTTATTTGAAGATATTTCCTTTCTCACCATAGGCCTGAAAGCTGTCCTAATGTTCACTTCCAGATACTACAGAAAGAGTGTTTCAAAACTGCTGTACGAAAGGGAATGTTCAACTCTGTGACTTGAATGCACACATCACAAAGAAGTTTCTGAGGATGCTGCTGTCTACTTTTGATACGTAATCCCGTTTCCAACGAAATCCTCCAAGCTATCCAAATATCCACTTGCAGATTCCACAGAAAGACTGTTTCAAAACTGCTCTGTCAATAGAAAGGTTCAACTCTGTTAGCTGCGTGCATATATCCCAAAGAAGATTCTGAGATTGCTTTCTGTCTATTTTTTATGGGAAGATATTTCCCTTTTCACCGTAGGCGTCAAGGCGCTCCAAATGTCCACTTCCAGATACTACAAAAAGAGTGTTTCAAACCTACTCTGTGAAAGGGAATATTCAACTCTGTGACTTGAAGGCAGATATCACAAAGAAGTTTCTGAGAATGCTTCTGTCGAGATTTTATATGAAGATATTCCCGTTTCCAACGAAATGCTGAAATGTATCCAAATATCCCCTCGCAGATTCTACAAAAAGAGTGTTTCAAAACTGCTCTGTAAAAAGAAAGGTTCAACTCTGTTAGTTGCGTACACACATCACAAACAAGTTTCACAGAATGCTTCTTTCTAGCTTGTAGGGGAAGATATTCCCTTTATCACCATGGGCCTCAAACCGTCCGAAACGTCCACTTCCATATACTACAAAAAGAGCGTTTCAAACCTGCTCTATGAAAGGCAATGTTCAAATCTGTGACTTGAATGCAGACATCACAGAGCAGTTTCTGAGAATGCTTCTGTCTAGATTTTATAGGAAGATATTCCCGTTTCCAACGAAATCTTCACAGCTATCCAAATATCCACTTGCAGATTCTACAAAAAGAGTGTATCAAATCTGCTCTGTCAAAAGGAAGGTTCTTCTCTGTTAGTTGAGTACATACGTCATAAAGGAGTTTCTGAGAATGTTTCTGTCTAGTGGTTATGGGAAGATATTTGCTTTTTCACCGTAGGCCTCAGAGCGCTCCAAATATCCACTTGCACATACTACAAAAAGAGTGCTTCAAAGCTGCTCTCTGAAACGGAATGTTAAACTCTATGAGTTGAATGCAAACATCACAAAGACGTTTCTGAGAATGCTTCTGTCTAGATTTGATATGAAGATATTCCCATTTCCAACGAAATCTTCAAATCTATCCAAATGTCCACTTGCAGATTCAACAAAAAGTGTTTTTCAGAACTGCTCTATCAAAAGAAAGATCCACCTCTGTTAGCTGAGTTCACACATCACAAACAAGTTTATGAGAATGCTTCTGTCTAGTTTTTATTTGAAGATATTTCCTTTCTCACCATAGACCTGAAAGCTGTGCTAAAGTTCACTTCCAGATACTACAGAAAGAGTGTTTCAAAACTGCTGTACGAAAGGGAATGTTCAACTCTGTGACTTGAATGCACACATCACAAGGATGTTTCTGAGGATGCTGCTGTCTACTTTGTATATGTAATCCCGTTTCCAACGAAATCCTCCAAGCTATCCAAATATCCACTTGCAGATTCCACAGAAAGACTGTTTCAAAACTGCTCTGTCAATAGAAAGGTTCAACTCTGTTAGCTGCGTGCATATATCCCAAAGAAGATTCTGAGATTGCTTCTGTCTAGTTTTTATGGGAAGATATTTCCCTTTTCATCATAGGTGTCAAGGCGCTCCAAATGTCCACTTCCAGATACTACAAAAAGAGTGTTTCAAACCTACTCTGTGAAAGGGAATATTCAACACTGTGACTTGAATGCGCATATCACAAAGAAGTTTCTGAGAATGCTTCTGTCGAGATTTTATATGAAGATATTCCCGTTTCCAACGAAATCCTGAAATCTATCCAAATATCCCCTCGCAGATTCTACAAAAAGAGTGTTTCAAAACTGCTTTGTAAAAAGAAAGGTTCAACTCTGTTAGTTGAGTACACACATCACAAACAAGTTTCACAGAATGCTTCTTTCTAGCTTGTAGGGGAAGATATTCCCTTTATCACCATGGGCCTCAAACCGTCCGAAACGTCTACTTACATATACTACAAAAAGAGCGTTTCAAACCTGCTCTATGAAAGGCAATGTTCAACTCTGTGACTTGAATGCAGACATCACAGAGCAGTTTCTGAGAATGCTTCTGTCTAGATTTTATAGGAAGATATTCCCGTTTCCAACGAAATCTTCACAGCTATCCAAATATCCACTTGCAAATTCTACAAAAAGAGTGTATCAAAACTGCTCTGTCAAAAGGAAGGTTCTTCTCTGTTAGGTGAGTGCACACGTCATAAAGGAGTTTCTGAGAATGTTTCTGTCTAGTGGTTATGGGAAGATATTTGCTTTTTCACCGTAGGCCTCAGAGCGGTCCAAATATCCACTTGCACATACTACAAAAAGAGTGCCTCAAAGCTGCTCTCTGAAACGGAATGTTCAACTCTATGAGTTGAATGCAAACATCACAAAGACGTTTCTGAGAATGCTTCTGTCTAGATTTGATATGAAGATATTCCCGTTTCCAACGAAATCTTCAAATCTATCCAAATGTCCACTTGCGGATTCAACAAAAAGTGTTTTTCAAAACTGCTGTATCAAAAGAAAGATCCACCTCTGTTAGCTGAGTTCACACATCACAAACAAGTTTATGAGAATGCTTCTGTCTAGTTTTTATTTGAAGATATTTCCTTTCTCACCATAGACCTGAAAGCTGTCCTAATGTTCACTTCCAGTTACTACAGAAAGAGTGTTTCAAAACTGCTGTACGAAAGGGAATGTTCAACTCTGTGAGTTGAATGCACACATCACAAAGAAGTTTCTGAGGATGTTGCTGTCTACTTTTTATACGTAATCCCATTTCCAAAGAAATCCTGCAAGCTATCCAAATATCCACTTGCAGATTCCACAGAAAGACTGTTTCAAAACTGCTCTGTCAATAGAAAGGTTCAACTCTGTTAGTTGCGTGCATATATCCCAAAGAAGATTCTGAGATTGCTTCTGTCTAGTTTTTATGGGAAGATATTTCCCTTTTCACCGTAGGTTTCAAGGCGCTCCAAATGTCCACTTCCAGATACTACAAAAAGAGTGTTTCAAACCTACTCTGTGAAAGGGAATATTCAACTCTGTGACTTGAATGCACATATCACAAGGAAGTTTCTGAGAATGCTTCTGTCGAGATTTTATATGAAGATATTCCCGTTTCCAACGAAATCCTGAAATCTATCCAAATATCCCCTCGCAGATTATACAAAAAGAGTGTTTCAAAACTGCTCTGTAAAAAGAAAGGTTCAACTCTGTTAGTTGAGTACACACATCACAAACAAGTTTCACAGAATGCTTCTTTCTAGCTTGTAGGGGAAGATATTCCCTTTATCACCATGGGCCTCCAACCGTCCGAAACGTCCACTTCCATATACTACAAAAAGAGCCTTTCAAACCTGCTCTATGAAAGGCAATGTTCAACTCTGTGACTTGAATGCAGACATCACAGAGCAGTTTCTGAGAATGCTTTTTGTTTAGATTTTATAGGAAGATATTTGCGTTTCCAAGGAATTCTTCACAGATATCCAAATATCCACTTGCAGATTCTCCAAAAAGAGTGTATCAAAACTGCTCTGTCAAAAGGAAGGTTCTTCTCTGTTAGTTGAGTACATACGTCATAAAGAAGTTTCTGAGAATGTTTCTGTCTAGTGGTTATGGGAAGATATTTGCTTTTTCACCGTAGGCCTCAGAGCGCTCCAAATATCCACTTGCACATACTACAAAAAGAGTGCCTCAAAGCTGCTCTCTGAAACGGAATGTTCAACTCTATGATTTGAATGCCAACATCACAAAGACGTTTCTGAGAATGCTTCTGTCTAGACTTGATATGAAGATATTCCCGTTTCCAACGAAATCTTCAAATCTATTCAAATGTCCACTTGCAGATTCAACAAAAAGTGTTTTTCAGAACTGCTCTATCAAAAGAAAGATCCACCTCTGTTAGCTGAGTTCACACATCACAAACAAGTTTATGAGAATGCTTCTGTCTAGTTTTTATTTGAAGATATTTCCTTTCTCACCATAGACCTGAAAGCTGTCTTAATGTTCACTTCCAGATACTACAGAAAGAGTGTTTCAAAACTGCTGTACGAAAGGGAATGTTCAACACTGTGACTTGAATGCACACATCACAAAGAAGTTTCTGAGGATGCTGCTGTCTAATTTTTATACGTAATCCCGTTTCCAACGAAATCCTCCAAGCTATCCAAATATCCACTTGCAGATTCCACAGAAAGACTGTTTCAAAACTGCTCTGTCAATAGAAAGGTTCAACTCTGTTAGCTGCGTGCATATATCACAAAGAAGATTCTGAGATTGCTTCTGTCTAGTTTTTATGGGAAGATATTTCCCTTTTCACCGTAGGCGTCAAGGCTCTCCAAATGTCCACTTCCAGATACTACAAAAAGAGTGTTTCAAACCTACTCTGTGAAAGGGAATATTCAACTCTGTGACTTGAATGCAGATATCACAAAGAAGTTTCTGAGAATGCTTCTGTCGAGATTTTATATGAAGATATTCCCGTTTCCAACGAAATCCTGAAATCAATCCAAATATCCCCTCGCAGATTCTACAAAAAGAGTGTTTCAAAACTGCTCTGTAAAAAGAAAGGTTCAACTCTGTTAGTTGAGTACACACATCACAAACAAGTTTCACAGAATGCTTCTTTCTAGCTTGTAGGGGAAGATATTCCGTTTATCACCATGGGCCTCAAACCGTCCGAAACGTCTACTTCCATATACTACAAAAAGAGCGTTTCAAACCTGCTCTATGAAAAGCAATGTTCAACTCTGTGACTTGAATGCAGACATCACAGAGCAGTTTCTGAGAATGCTTCTGTCAGATTTGATATGAAGATATTCCCGTTTCCAACGAAATCTTCACACCTATCCAAATATCCACTTGCAGATACTACAAAAAGTGTGTATCCAAAGTTCTCTGTCAAAAGGAAAGTTCTTCTCTGCTACTTGAGTACATACGTCATAAATAAGTTTCTGAGAATGTTTCTGTCTAGTGGTTATGGGAAGATATTTGCTTTTTCACCTTAGGCCTCAGAGCGCTCCAAATATCCACTTGCACATACTACAAAAAGAGTGTTTCAAAGCTGCTCTCTGAAACGGAATGTTCAACTCTATGAGTTAAATGCAATCATCACAAAGACGTTTCTGAGAATGCTTCTGTCTAGATTTGATATGAAGATATTCCCGTTTCCAACGAAATCTTCAAATCTATCCAAATGTCCACTTGCAGATTCAACAAAGTGTTTTTCAGAACTGCTCTATCAAAAGAAAGATCCACCTCTGTTAGCTGAGTTCACACTTCAAAAACAAGTTTATCAGAATGCTTCTGTCTAGTTTTTATTTGAAGATATTTCCTTTCTCACCATAGACCTGAAAGCTGTCCTATTGTTCACTTCAGATACTACAGAAAGAGTGTTTCAAAACTGCTGTACGAAAGGGAATGTTCAACTCTGTGACTTGAATGCACACATCACAAAGAAGTTTCTGAGGATGCTGCTGTCTACTTTTTATACGTAATCCCGTTTCAAACGAAATCCTCCAAGCTATCCAAATATCCACTTGCAGATTCCACAGAAAGACTGTTTCAAAACTGCTCTGTCAATAGAAAAGTTCAACTCTGTTAGCTGCGTGCATATATCCCAAAGAAGATTCTGAGATTGCTTCTGTCTAGTTTTTATGGGAAGATATTTCCCTTTTCACCGTGGGCGTCAAGGCGCTCCAAATGTCCACTTCCAGATACTACAAAAAGAGTGTTCCAAACCTACTCTGTGAAAGGGAATATTCAACTCTGTGACTTGAATGCACATATCACAAGGAAGTTTCTGAGAATGCTTCTGTCGAGATTTTGTATGAAGATATTCCCGTTTCCAACGAAATGCTGAAATGTATCCAAATATCCCCTCGCAGATTCTACAAAAAGAGTGTTTCAAAACTGCTCTGTAAAAAGAAAGGTTCAACTCTGTTAGTTGAGTACACACATCACAAACAAGTTTCACAGAATGCTTCTTTCTAGCTTGTAGGGGAAGATATTGCCTTTATCACCATGGGCCTCAAACCGTCCGAAACGTCCACTTCCATATACTACAAAAAGAGCGTTTCAAACCTGCTAAATGAAAGGCAATGTTCAACTCTGTGACTTGAATGCAGACATCACAGAGCAGTTTCTGAGAATGCTTCTGTCTAGATTTTATAGGAAGATATTCCCGTTTCCAACGAAATCTTCACAGCTATCCAAATATGCACTTGCAGATTCTACAAAAAGAGTGTATCAAAACTGCTCTGTCAAAAGGAAGGTTCTTCTCTTTTAGGTGAGTGCATAGGTCATAAAGGAGTTTCTGAGAATGTTTCTGTCTAGTGGTTATGGGAAGATATTTGCTTTTTCCCCGTAGGCCTCAGGGCGCTCCAAATGTCCACTTGCACATGCTACAAAAAGAGTGCTTCAAAGCTACTCACTCAAAGGGAATGTTCAACTCTATGAGTTGAATGCAAACATCGCAAAGACGTTTCTGAGAATGCTTTCTGTCTAGATTTGATATGAAGATATTCCCGTTTCCAACGAAATCTTCAAATCTATCCAAATGTCCACTTGCAGATTCAACAAAAAGTGTTTTTCAGAACTGCTCTATCAAAAGAAAGATCCACCTCTGTTAGCTGAGTTCACACATCACAAACAAGTTTATGAGAATGATTCTGTCTAGTTTTTATTTGAAGATATTTCCTTTCTCACCATAGACCTGAAAGCTGTCCTAATGTTCACTTCCAGATACTACAGAAAGAGTGTTTCAAAGCTGCTGTACGAAAGGAAATGTTCAAATCTGTGACTTGAATGCACACATCACAAAGAAGTTTCTGAGGATGCTGCTGTCTAATTTTTATACGTAATCCCGTTTCCAACGAAATCCTCCAAGCTAACCAAATATCCACTTGCAGATTCCACGGAAAGACTGTTTCAAAACTGCTCTGTCAATAGAAAGGTTCAACTCTGTTAACTGCGTGCATATATCCCAAGGAAGATTCTGAGATTGCTTCTGTCTAGATTTGATATGAAGATATTCCCGTTCCCAACGAAATCTTCAAATCTATCCAAATGTCCACTTGCAGATTCAACAAAAAGTTTTTTTCAGAACTGCTCTATCAAAAGAAAGATCCACCTCGGTTAGCTGAGTTCACACATCACAAAGAAGTTTATGAGAATGCTTCTGTCGAGATTTTATATGAAGATATTCCCGTTTCCAAGGAAATCCTGAAATCTATCCAAATATCCCCTCGCAGATTCTACAAAAAGAGTGTTTCAAAACTGCTCTGTAAAAAGAAAGGTTCAACTCTGTTAGTTGAGTACACACATCACAAACAAGTTTCACAGAATGCTTCTTTCTAGCTTGTAGGGGAAGATATTCCCTTTATCACCATGGGACTCAAACCGTCCGAATCGTCCACTTCCATATACTACAAAAAGACCGTTTCAAACCTGCTCCATGAAAGGCAATGTTCAACTCTGTGACTTGAATGCAGACATCACAGAGCAGTTTCTGAGAATGCTTCTGTCTAGATTTTATAGGAAGATATTCCCGTTTCCAACGAAATCTTCACAGCTATCCAAATATGCACTTGCAGATTCTACAAAAAGAGTGTATCAAAACTGCTCTGTCAAAAGGAAGGTTCTTCTCTGTTAGGTGAGTGCATACGTCATAAAGGAGTTTCTGAGAATGTTTCAGTCTAGTGTTTATGGGAAGATATTTGCTTTTTCCCCGTAGGCCTCAGAGCGCTCCAAATATCCACTTGCACATACTACAAAAAGAGTGCTTCAAAGCTGCTCTCTGAAACGGAATGTTCAACTCTATGAGTTGAATGCAAACATCACAAAGACGTTTCTGAGAATGCTTCTGTCTAGATTTGATATGAAGATATTCCCGTTTCCAAAGAAATCTTCAAATCTATCCAAATGTCCACTTGCAGATTCAAAAAAAAGTGTTTTTCAGAACTGCTCTATCAAAAGAAAGATCCACCTCTGTTAGCTGAGTTCACACATCACAAACAAGTTTATGAGAATGCTTTCTGTCTAGTTTTTATTTGAAGATATTTCCTTTCTCACCATAGACCTGAAAGCTGTCCTAATGTTCACTCCCAGATAATACAGAAAGAGTGTTTCAAAACTGCTGTACGAAAGGGAATGTTCAACTCTGTGACTTGAATGCACACATCACAAAGAAGTTTCTGAGGATGCTGATGTCTACTTTTTATATGTAATCCCGTTTCCAACGAAATCCTCCAATCTATCCAAATATCCACTTGCAGATTCCACAGAAACACTGTTTCAAAACTGCTCTGTCAATAGAAAGGTTAAACTCTGTTAGCTGCGTGCATATATCCCAAAGAAGATTCTGAGATTGCTTCTGTCTAGTTTTTATGGGAAGATATTTCCCTTTTCACCGTAGGCGTCAAGGCGCTCCAAATGTCCACTTCCAGACACTACAAAAAGAGTGTTTCAAACCTACTCTGTGAAAGGGAATATTCAACTCTGTGACTTGAATGCACATATCACAAAGAAGTTTCTGAGAATGCTTCTGTCGAGATTTTATATGAAGATATTCCCGTTTCCAACGAAATGCTGAAATCTATCCAAATATCCCCTCGCAGATTCTACAAAAAGAGTGTTTCAAAACTGCTCTGTGAAAAGAAAGGTTCAACTCTGTTAGTTGAGTACACACATCACAAACAAGTTTCACAGAATGCTTCTTTCTAGCTCGTAGGGGAAGATATTCCCTTTATCACCATGGGCCTCCAACCGTCTGAAACATCCACTTCCATATACTACAAAAAGAGCGTTTCAAACCTGCTCTATGAAAGGCAATGTTCAACTCTGTGACTTGAATGCAGACATCACAGAGCAGTTTCTGAGAATGCTTCTGTCTAGATTTTATAGGAAGATATTCCCGTTTCCAACAAAATCTTCACAGCTATCCAAATATCCACTTGCAGATTCTACAAAAAGAGTGTATCAAACCTGCTCTGTCAAAAGGAAGGTTCTTCTCTGTTAGGTGAGTGCATACGTCATAAAGGAGTTTCTGAGAATGTTTCTGTCTAGTGGTTATGGGAAGATATTTGCTTTTTCACCGTAGGCGTCAGAGCTCTCCAAATATCCACTTGCACATACTACAAAAAGAGTGCTTCAAAGCTGCTCTCTGAAACGGAATGTTCAACTCTATGAGTTGAATGCAAACATCACAAAGACGTTTCTGAGAATGCTTCTGTCTAGATTTGATATGAAGATATTCCCGTTTCCAACGAAATCTTCAAATCTATCCAAATCTCCACTTGCAGATTCAACAAAAAGTGTTTTTCAGAACTGCTCTATCAAAAGAAAGATCCACCTCTGTTAGCTGAGTTCACACATCACAAACAAGTTTATGAGAATGCTTTCTGTCTAGTTTTTATTTGAAGATATTTCCTTTCTCACCATAGACCTGAAAGCTGTCCTAATGTTCACTTCCAGATACTACAGAAAGAGTGTTTCAAAACTGCTGTATGAAAGGGAATGTTCAACTCTGTGACTTGAATGCACACATCACAAGGAAGTTTCTGAGGATGCTGCTGTCTACTTTTTATACGTAATCCCGTTTCCAACGAAATCCTCCAAGCTATCCAAATATCCACTTGCAGATTCCACAGAAAGACTGTTTCAAAACTGCTCTGTCAATAGAAAGGTTCAACTCTATTAGCTGCGTGCATATATCTCAAAGAAGATTCTGAGATTGCTTCTGTCTAGTTTTTATGGGAAGATATTTCACTTTTCACCGTAGGTGTCAAGGCGCTCCAAATGTCCACTTCCAGATACTACAAAAAGAGTGTTTCAAACCTACTCTGTGAAAGGGAATATTCAACTCTGTGACTTGAATGCACATATCACAAAGAAGTTTCTGAGAATGCTTCTGTCGAGATTTTATATGAAGATATTCCCGTTTCCAACGAAATCCTGAAATCTATCCAAATATCCCCTCGCAGATTCTACAAAAAGAGTGTTTCAAAACTGCTCTGTGAAAAGGAAGGTTCAACTCTGTTAGTTGAGTACACACATCACAAACAAGTTTCACGGAATGCTTCTTTCTAGCTTGTAGGGGAAGATATTCCCTTTATAACCATGGGCCTCAAACCGTCCGAAACGTCTACTTCCATATACTACAAAAAGAGCGTTTCAAACCTGCTCTATGAAAGGCAATGTTCAACTCTGTGACTTGAATGCAGACATCACAGAGCAGTTTCTGAGAATGCTTCTGTCTAGATTTTATAGGAAGATATTCCCGTTTCCAACGAAATCTTCACAGCTATCCAAATATCCACTTGCAGATTCTACAAAAAGAGTGTATCAAAACTGCTCTGTCAAAAGGAAGGTTCTTTTCTGTTAGTTGAGTGCATACGTCATAAAGGAGTTTCTGAGAATGTTTCTGTCTAGTGGTTATGGGAAGATATTTGCTTTTTCACCTTAGGCCTCAGAGCGCTCCAAATATCCCCTTGCACATACTATAAAAAGAGTGCTTCAAAGCTGCTCTCTGGAAGGGAATGTTCAACTACTATGAGTTGAATGCAAGCATCACAAAGACGTTTCTGAGAATGCTTCTGTCTAGATTTGATATGAAGATATTCCCGTTTCCAACGAAATCTTCAAATCTATCCAAATGTCCACTTGCAGATTCATCAAAAAGTGTTTTTCAGAACTGCTCTATCAAAAGAAAGATCCACCTCTGTTAGCTGAGTTCACACATCACAAACAAGTTTATGAGAATGCTTCTGTCTAGTTTTTATTTGAAGATATTTCCTTTCTCACCATAGACCTGAAAGCTGTCCTAGTGTTCACTTCCAGTTACTACAGAAAGAGTGTTTCAAAACTGCTGTACGAAAGGGAATGTTCAACTCTGTGACTTGAATGCACACATCACAAAGAAGTTTGCTGAGGATGCTGCTGTCTACTTTTTATACGTAATCCCGATTCCAACGAAATCCTCCAAGCTATCCAAATATCTACTTGCAGATTCCACAGAAAGACTATTTCAAAACTGCTCTGTCAATAGAAAGGTTCAACTCTGTTAGCTGCGTGCATATATCCCAAAGAAGATTCTGAGATTGCTTCTGTCTAGTTTTTATGGGAAGATATTTCCCTTTTCACCGTAGGCGTCAAGGCGCTCCAAATGTCCACTTCCAGATACTACAAAAGGAGTGTTTCAAACCTACTCTCTGAAAGGGAATATTCAACTCTGTGACTTGAATGCACATATCACAAAGAAGTTTCTGAGAATGCTTCTGTCGAGATTTTATATGAAGATATTCCCGTTTCCAACGAAATCCTGAAATCTATCCAAATATCCCCTCGCAGATTCTACAAAAAGAGTGTTTCAAAACTGCTCTGTAAAAAGAAAGGTTCAACTCTGTTAGTTGAGTACACACAGCACAAACAAGTTTCACAGAATGCTTCTTTCTAGCTTGTAGGGGAAGATATTCCCTTTATCACCATGGGCCTCAAACCGTCCGAAACGTCCACTTCCATATACTACAAAAAGAGTGTTTGAAACCTCCTCTATGAAAGGCAATGTTCAACTCTGTGACTTGAATGCAGACATCACAGAGCAGTTTCTGAGAATGCTTCTGTCTAGATTTTATAGGAAGATATTCCCGTTTCCAACGAAATCTTCACAGCTATCCAAATATCCACTTGCAGATTCTACAAAAAGAGTGTATCAAAACTGCTCTGTCAAAAGGAAGGTTCTTCTCTGTTAGATGAGTGCATACGTCATAAAGGAGTTTCTGAGAATGTTTCTGTCTAGTGATTATGGGAAGATATTTGCTTTTTCACCGTAGGCCTCAGAGCGCTCCAAATATCCCCTTGCACATACTACAAAAAGAGTGCTTCAAAGCTGCTCTCTGAAACGGAATGTTCAACTCTATGAGTTGAATGCAAACATCGCAAAGACGTTTCTGAGAATGCTTCTGTCTAGATTTGATATGAAGATATTCCCGTTTCCAACGAAATCTTCAAATCTATCCAAATGTCCACTTGCAGATTCAACAAAAAGTGTTTTTCAGAACTGCACTATCAAAAGAAAGATCCACCTCTGTTAGCTGAGTTCACACATCACAAACAAGTTTATGAGAATGCTTCTGTATAGTTTTTATTTGAAGATATTTCCTTTCTCACCATAGACCTGAAAGCTGTCCTAATGTTCACTTCCAGATACTACAGAAAGAGTGTTTCAAAACTGCTGTACGAAAGGGAATGTTGAACTCTGTGACTTGAATGCACACATCACAAAGAAGTTTCTGAGGATGCTGCTGTCTACTTTTTATACGTAATCCCGTTTCCAACGAAATCCTCCAAGCTATCCAAATATCCACTTGCAGATTCCACAGAAAGACTGTTTCAAAACTGCTCTGTCAATAGAAAGGTTCAACTCTATTAGCTGCGTACATATATCCCAAAGAAGATTGCTGAGATTGCTTCTGTCTAGTTTTTATGGGAAGATATTTCCCTTTTCACCGTAGGTGTCAAGACGCTCCAAATGTCCACTTCCAGATACTACAAAAAGAGTGTTTCAAACCTACTCTGTGAAAGGGAATATTCAACTCTGTGACTTGAATGCAGATATCACAAAGAAGTTTCTGAGAATGCTTCTGTCGAGATTTTATATGAAGATATTCCCGTTTCCAACGAAATCCTGAAATGTATCCAAATATCCCCTTGCAGATTCTACAAAAAGAGTGTTTCAAAACTGCTCTGTAAAAAGAAAGGTTCAACTCTGTTAGTTGAGTACACACATCACAAAGAAGTTTCACACAATGCTTCTTTCTAGCTTGTAGGGGAAGATATTCCCTTTATCACCATGGGCCTCCAACCGTCCGAAACATCCAGTTCCATATTCTACAAAAAGAGCGTTTCAAACCTGCTCTATGAAAGGCAATGTTCAACTCTGTGACTTGAATGCAGACATCACAGAGCAGTTTCTGAGAATGCTTCTGTCTAGATTTTATAGGAAGATATTCCCGTTTCCAACGAAATCTTCACAGCTATCCAAATATCCACTTGCAGATTCTACAAAAAGAGTGTATCAAAGCTGCTCTGTCAAAAGGAAGGTTCTTCTCTGTTAGGTGAGTGCATACGTCATAAAGCAGTTTCTGAGAATGTTTCTGTCTAGTGGTTATGGGAAGATATATGCTTTTTCACCTTAGGCCTCACAGCGATCCAAATATCCACTTGCACATACTACAAAAAGAGTGCTTCAAAGCTGCTCTCTGAAACGGAATGTTCAACTCTATGAGTTGAATGCAAACATCACAAAGACGTTTCTGAGAATGCTTCTGTCTAGATTTGATATGAAGATATTCCCGTTTCCAACGAAATCTTCAAATCTATCCAAATGTCCACTTGCAGATTCAACTAAAAGTGTTTTTCAGAACTGCTCTATCAAAAGAAGTATCCACCTCTGTTAGCTGAGTTCACACATCACAAACAAGTTTATGAGAATGCTTCTGTCTAGTTTTTATTTGAAGATATTTCCTTTCTCACCATAGACCTGAAAGCTGTCCTAATGCTTATCCTAATGCTTACTTCCAGATACTACAGAAAGAGTGTTTCAAAACTGCTGTACGAAACGGGATGTTCAACTCTGTGACTTGAATGCACACATCACAAAGAAGTTTCTGAGGATGGTGCTGTCTACTTTTTATACGTAATCCCGTTTCCAAAGAAATCCTCCAAGCTATCCAAATATCCACTTGCAGATTCCACAGAAAGACTGTTTCAAAACTGCTCTGTCAATAGAAAGGTTCAACTCTGTTAGCTGCGTGCATATATCCCAAAGAAGATTCTGAGATTGCTTCTGTCTAGTTTTTATGGGAAGATATTTCCCTTTTCACCGTAGGCGTCAAGGCGCTCCAATGTCCAATTCCAGATACTATAAAAAGAGTGTTTCAAACCTCCTCTGTGAAAGGGAATATTCAACTCTGTGACTGTAATGCAGATATCACAAAGAAGTTTCTGAGAATGCTTCTGTCGAGATTTTATAAGAAGATATTCCCGTTTCCAACGAAATCCTGAAATCTATCCAAATATCCCCTCGCAGATTCTACAAAAAGAGTGTTTCAAAACTGCTCTTTAAAAAGAAAGGTTCAACTCTGTTAGTTGAGTACACACATCACAAACAAGTTTCACAGAATGCTTCTTTCTAGCTTGTAGGGGAAGATATTCCCTTTATCACCATGGGCCTCAAACCGTCCGATAAGTCCACTTCCATATACTAAAAAAAGAGCGTTTCAAACCTGCTCTATGAAAGGCAATGTTCAACTCTGTGACTTGAATGCAGACATCACAGAGCAGTTTCTGAGAATGCTTCTGTCTAGATTTTATAGGAAGATATTCCCGTTTCCAACGAAATCTTCACAGCTATCCAAATATCCACTTGCAGATTCTACAAAAAGAGTGTATCAAAACTCCTCTGTCAAAAGGAAGGTTCTTCTCTGTTAGGTGAGTGCATACGTCATAAAGGAGTTTCTGAGAATGTTTCTGTCTAGTGGTTATGGGAAGATATTTGCTTTTTCACCGTAGGCCTCAGAGCGCTCCAAATGTCCACTTGCACATACTACAAAAAGAGTGCTTCAAAGCTGCTCTCTGAAAGGGAATGTTCAACTCTATGAGTTGAATGCAAACATCACAAAGACGTTTCTGAGAATGCTTCTGTCTAGTATTTGATATGAAGATATTCCCGTTTCCAACGAAATCTTCAAATCTATCCAAATGTCCACTTGCAGATTCAACAAAAAGTGTTTTTCAGAACTGCTCTATCAAAAGAAAGATCCACCTCTGTTAGCTGAGTTCACACTTCACAAACAAGTTTATCAGAATGCTTCTGTCTAGTTTTTATTTGAAGATATTTCCTTTCTCACCATAGACCTGAAAGCTGTCCTAATGTTCACTTCCAGATACTACAGAAAGAGTGTTTCAAAACTGCTGTACGAAAGGGAATGTTCAACTACTGTGACTTGAATGCACACATCACAAAGAAGTTTGCTGAGGATGCTGCTGTCTACTTTTTATACGTAATCCCGTTACCAACGAAATCCTCCAAGCTATCCAAATATCCACTTGCAGATTCCACAGAAAGACTGTTTCAAAACTGCTCTGTCAATAGAAAGGTTCAACTCTGTTAGCTGCGTGCATATATCCCAAAGAAGATTCTGAGATTGCTTCTGTCTAGTTTTTATCGGAAGATATTTCCCTTTTCACCATAGGTGTCAAGGTGCTCCAAATGTCCACTTCCAGATACTACAAAAAGAGTGTTTCAAACCTACTCTGTGAAAGGGAATATTCAACTCTGTGACTTGAATGCAGATATCACAAAGAAGTTTCTGAGAATGCTTCTGTCGAGATTTTATATGAAGATATTCCCGTTTCCATCGAAATCCTGAAATCTATCCAAATATCCCCTCGCAGATTCTACAAAAAGAGTGTTTCAAAACTGCTCTGTAAAAAGAAAGGTTCAACTCTGTTAGTTGAGTACACACATCACAAACAAGTTTCACAGAATGCTTCTTTCTAGCTTGTAGGGGAAGATATTCCCTTTATCACCATGGGCCTCAAACCGTCCGAAACGTCTACTTACATATACTACAAAAAGAGCGTTTCAAACCTGCTCTATGAAAGGCAATGTTCAACTCTGTGACTTGAATGCAGACATCACAGAGCAGTTTGCTGAGAATGCTTCTGTCTAGATTTTATAGGAAGATATTCCCGTTTCCAACGAAATCTTCCCAGCTATCCAAATATCCACTTGCAGATTCTACAAAAAGAGTGTATCAAAACTGCTCTGTCAAAAGGAAGGTTCTTCTCTGTTAGGTGAGTGCATACGTCATAAAGGAGTTTCTGAGAATGTTTCTGTCTAGTGGTTATGGGAAGATATTTGCTTTTTCACCGTAGGCCTCAGAGCGCTCCAAATATCCACTTGCACATACTACAAAAAGAGTGCCTCAAAGCTGCTCTTTGAAACGGAATGTTCAACTCTATGAGTTGAATGCAAACATCACAAAGACGTTTCTGAGAATGCTTTCTGTCTAGATTTGATATGAAGATATTCCCGTTTCCAACGAAATCTTCATATCTATCCAAATGTCCACTTGCAGATTCAACAAAAAGTGTTTTTCAAAACTGCTCTATCAAAAGAAAGATCCACCTCTGTTAGCTGAGTTCACACATCACAAACAAGTTTATGAGAATGCTTCTGTCTAGTTTTTATTTGAAGATATTTCCTTTCTCACCATAGACCTGAAAGCTGGCCTAATGTTCACTTCCAGATACTACAGAAAGAGTGTTTCAAAACTGCTGTACGAAAGGGAATGTTCAACTCTGTGACTTGAATGCACACATCACAAAGAAGTTTCTGAGGATGCTGCTGTCTATTTTTATACGTAATCCCGTTTCCAACGAAATCCTCCAATTTAACCAAATATCCACTTGCAGATTCCACAGAAAGACTGTTTCAAAACTGCTCTGTCAATAGAAAGGTTCAACTCTGTTAGCTGCGTGCATATGTCCCAAAGAAGATTCTGAGATTTCTTCTGTCTACTTTTTATGAGAAGATATTTCCCTTTTCACCGTAGGCGTCAAGGCGCTCCAAATGTCTACTTCCAGATACTACAAAAAGAGTGTTTCAAACCTACTCAGTGAAAGGGAATATTCAACTCTGTGACTTGAATGCAGATATCACAAAGAAGGTTCTGAGAATGCTTCTGTCGAGATTTTATATGAAGATATTCCCGTTTCCAACAAAATCCTGAAATCTATCCAAATATCCCCTCACAGATTCTACAAAAAGAGTGTTTCAAAACTGCTCTGTAAAAAGAAAGGTTCAACTCTGTTAGTTGAGTACACACATCACAAACAAGTTTCACAGAATGCTTCTTTCTAGCTTGTAGGGGAAGATATTCCCTTTATCACCATGGGCCTCAAACCGTCCGATAAGTCCACTTCCATATACTACAAAAAGAGCGTTTCAAACCTGCTGTATGAAAGGCAATGTTCAACTCTGTGACTTGAATGCAGACATCACAGAGCAGTTTCTGAGAATGCTTCTGTCTAGATTTTATAGGAAGATATTCCCGTTTCCAACGAAATCTTCACAGCTATCCAAATATCCACTTGCAGATTCTACAAAAAGAGTGTATCAAAACTACTCTGTCAAAAGGAAGGTTCTTTTCTGTTAGGTGAGTGCATACGTCATAAAGGAGTTTCTGAGAATGTTTCTGTCTAGTGGTTATGGGAAGATATTTGCTTTTTCACCTTAGGCCTCAGAGCGATCCAAATATCCACTTGCACATACTACAAAAAGAGTGCTTCAAAGCTGCTCTCTGAAAGTGAATGTTCAACTCCTTGAGTTGAATGCAAACATCACAAAGACGTTTCCGAGAATGCTTCTGTCTAGATTTGATATGAAGATATTCCCGTTTCCAACGAAATCTTCAAATCTATCCAAATGTCCACTTGCAGATTCAACAAAAAGTGTTTTTCAGAACTGCTCTATCAAAAGAAAGATCCACCTCTCTTAGCTGAGTTGACACATCACAAACAAGTTTATGAGAATGCTTCTGTCTAGTTTTCATTTGATGATATTTCCTTTCTCACCATAGACCTGAAAGCTGTCCTAATGTTCACTTCCAGATACTACAGAAAGAGTGTTTCAAAACTGCTGTACGAAAGGGAATGTTCAACTCTGTGACTTGAATGCACACATCACAAAGAAGTTTCTGAGGATGCTGCAGTCTACTTTTTATACGTAATCCCGTTTCCAAAGAAAACCTCCAAGCTATCCAAATATCCACTTGCAGATTCCACAGAAAGACTGTTTCAAAACTGCTCTGTCAATAGAAAGGTTCAACTCTGTTAGCTGCGTGCATATATCCCAAAGAAGATTCTGAGATTGCTTCTGTCTAGTTTTTATGGGAAGATATTTCCCTTTTCACCGTAGGCGTCAAGGCGCTCCAAATGTCCACTTCCAGATACTACAAAAAGAGTGTTCCAATCCTACTCTGTGAAAGGGAATATTCAACTCTGTGACTTGAATGCAGATATCACAAAGAAGTTTCTGAGAATGCTTCTGTCGAGATTTTATATGAAGATATTCCCGTTTCCAACGAAATCCTGAAATCTATCCAAATATCCGCTCGCAGATTCTACAAAAAGAGTGTTTCAAAACTGCTCTGTAAAAAGAAAGGTTCAACTCTGTTAGTTGAGTACACACATCACAAACAAGTTTCACACAATGCTTCTTTCTAGCTTGTAGGGGAAGATATTCCCTTTATCACCATGGGCCTCAAACCGTCCGAAACGTCCACTTCCATATACAACAAAAAGAGCGTTTCAAACCTGCTCTATGAAAGGCAATGTTCAACTCTGTGACTTGAATGCAGACATCACAGAGCAGTTTCTGAGAATGCTTCTGTCTAGATTTTATAGGAAGATATTCCCGTTTCCAACGAAATCTTCACAGCTATCCAAATATCCACTTGCAGATTCTACAAAAAGAGGGTATCAAAACTGCTCTGTCAAAAGGAAGGTTCTTCTCTGTTAGTTGAGTACATACGTCATAAAGGAGTTTCTGAGAATGTTTCTGTCTAGTGGTTATGGGAAGATATTTGCTTTTTCACCTTAGGCCTCAGAGCGCTCAAAATATCCCCTTGCACATACTACAAAAAGAGTGCTTCAAAGCTGCTCTCTGAAACGGAATGTTCAACTCTATGAGTTGAATGCAAACATCACAAAGACGTTTCTGAGAATGCTTCTGTCTAGATTTGATATGAAGATATTCCCGTTTCCAACGGAAATCTTCAAATCTATCCAAATGTCCACTTGCAGATTCAACAAAAAGTGTTTTTCAAAACTGCTGTATCAAAAGAAAGATCCACGTCTGTTAGCTGAGTTCACACATCACAAACAAGTTTATGAGAATGCTTCTGTTTAGTTTTTATTTGAAGATATTTCCTTTCTCACCATCGACCTGAAAGCTGTCCTAATGTTCACTTCCAGATACTACAGAAAGAGTGTTTCAAAACTGCTGTACGAAAGGGAATGTTCAACTCTGTGACTTGAATGCACACATCACAAAGAAGTTTCTGAGGATGCGGCTGTCTACTTTTTATACGTAATCCCGTTTCCAACGAAATCCTCCAACTATCAAAATATCCACTTGCAGATTCCACAGAAAGACTGTTTCAAAACTGCTCGGTCAATAGAAAGGTTCAACTCTGTTAGCTGCGTGCATATATCCCAAAGAAGATTCTGAGATTGCTTCTGTCTAGTTTTTATGGGAAGATATTTCCCTTTTCACCGTAGGTGTCAAGTCGCTCCAAATGTCCACTTCCAGATACTACAAAAAGAGTGTTTCATACCTACTCTGAGAAAGGGAATATTCAACTCTGTGACTTGAAGGCAGATATCACAAAGAAGTTTCTGAGAATGCTTCTGTCGAGATTTTGTATGAAGATATTCCCGTTTCCAACGAAATCCTGAAATCTATCCAAATATCCCCTCGCAGATTCTACAAAAAGAGTGTTTCAAAACTGCTCTGTAAAAAGAAAGGTTCAACTCTGTTACTTGAGTACACACATCACAAACAAGTTTCACAGAATGCTTCTTTCTAGCTTGTAGGGGAAGATATTCCCTTTATCACCATGGGCCTCAAACCGTCCGAAATGTCCACTTCCATATACTACAAAAAGAGCGTTTCAAACCTGCTCTATGAAAGGCAATGTTCAACTCTGTGACTTGAATGCAGACATCACAGAGCAGTTTCTGAGAATGCTTCTGTCTAGATTTTATAGGAAGATATTCCCGTTTCCAACGAAATCTTCACAGCTATCCAAATATCCACTTGCAGATTCTACAAAAAGAGTGTATCAAAATTGCTCTGTCAAAAGGAAGGTTCTTCTCTGTTAGGTGAGTGCATACGTCATAAAGGAGTTTCTGAGAATGTTTCTGTCTAGTGGTTATGGGAAGATATTTGCTTTTTCACCTTAGGCCTCACAGCGATCCAAATATCCATTTGCACATACTACAAAAAGAGTGCTTCAAAGCTGCTCTCTGAAACGGAATGTTCAACTCTATGAGTTGAATGCAAACATCACAAGACGTTTCTGAGGATGCTTCTGTCTAGATTTGATATGAAGATATTCCCGTTTCCAACGAAATCTTGAAATCTATCCAAATGTCCACTTGCAGATTCAACAAAGTGTTTTTCAGAACTGCTCTATCAAAAGAAAGATCCACGTGTGTTAGCTGAGTTCACACATCACAAACAAGTTGATGAGAATTCTTCTGTCTAGTTTTTATTTGAATATATTTCCTTTCTCACCATAGACCTGAAAGCTGTCCTAATGTTCACTTCCAGATACTACAGAAAGAGTGTTTCAAAACTGCTGTACGAAAGGGAATGTTCAACTCTGTGACTTGAATGCACACATCACAGAGAAGTTTCTGAGGAGGCTGCTGTCTACTTTTTATACTTAATCCCGTTTCCAACGAAATCCTCCAAGCTATCCAAATATCCCACTTGCAGATTCCACAGAAAGACTGTTTCAAAACTGCTCTGTCAATAGAAAGGTTCAACTCTGTTAGCTGCGTGCATATATCCCAAAGAAGATTCTGAGATTGCTTCTGTCTAGTTTTTATGGGAAGATATTTCCCTTTTCACCGTAGGCGTCAAGGCGCTCCAAATGTCCACTTCCAGATACTACAAAAAGAGTGTTTCAAACCTACTCGGTGAAAGGGAATATTCAACTCTGTGACTTGAATGCACATATCACAAAGAAGCTTCTGAGAATGCTTCTGTCGAGATTTTATATTAAGATATTCCCGTTTCCAACAAAATCCTGAAATCTATCCAAATATCCCCTCGCAGATTCTACAAGAAGAGTGTTTCAAAACTGCTCTGTAAAAAGAAAGGTTCAACTCTGTTAGTTGAGTACACACATCACAAACAAGTTTCACAGAATGCTTCTTTCTAGCTTGTAGGGGAAGATATTCCCTTTATCACCATGGGCCTCAAACCGTCCGAAACGTCCTCTTCCATATAGTACAAAAAGAGCGTTTCAAAACTGCTCTATGAAAGGCAATGTTCAACTCTGTGACTTGAATGCAGACATCACAGAGCAGTTTCTGAGAATGCTTCTGTTTAGATTTTATAGGAAGATATTCCCGTTTCCAATGAAATCTTCACAGCTATCCAAATATCCACTTGCAGATTCTACAAAAAGAGTGTATCAAAACTGCTCTGTCAAAAGGAAGGTTCTTCTCTGTTAGGTGAGTGCATACGTCATAAAGGAGTTTCTGAGAATGTTTCTGTCTAGTGGTTATGGGAAGATATTTGCTTTTTCACCGTAGGCCTCAGAGCGCTCCAAATATCCACTTGCACATACTACAAAAAGATTGCCTCAAAGCTGCTCTCTGAAACGGAATGTTCAACTCTATGAGTTGAATGCAAACATCGCAAAGACGTTTCTGAGAATGCTTCTGTCTAGATTTGATATGAAGATATTCCCGTTACCAACGAAATATTCAAATCTATCCAAATGTCCACTTGCAGATTCAACAAAAAGTGTTTTTCAGAACTGCTCTATCAAAAGAAAGATCCACCTCTGTTAGCTGAGTTCACACATCACAAACAAGTTTATGAGAATGCTTCTGTCTAGTTTTTATTTGAAGATATTTCCTTTCTCACCATAGACCTGAAAGCTGTCCTAATGTTCACTTCCAGATACTACATAAAGAGTGTTTCAACACTGCTGTACGAAAGGGAATGTTCAACTCTGTGACTTGAATGCACACATCACAAAGAAGTTTCTGAGGATGCTCTGTCTACTTTTTATACTTAATCCCGTTTCCAACGAAATCCTCCAAGCTATCCAAATATCCACTTGCAGATTCCACAGAAAGACTGTTTCAAAACTGCTCTGTCAATAGAAAGGTTCAACTCTGTTAGCTGCGTGCATATATCCCAAAGAAGATTCTGAGATTGCTTTCTGTCTAGTTTTTATGGGAAGATATTTCCCTTTTCACCGTAGGTGTCAAGGCGCTCCAAATGTCCACTTCCAGATACTACAAAAAGAGTGTTTCAAACCTACTCTGTGAAAGGGAATATTCAACTCTGTGACTTGAATGCACATATCACAAAGAAGTTTCTGAGAATGCTTCTGTCGAGATTTTATATAAAGATATTCCCGTTTCCAACGAAATCCTGAAATCTATCCAAATATCCCCTCGCAGATTCTACAAAAAGAGTGTTTCAAAACTGCTCTGTAAAAAGAAAGGTTCAACTCTGTTAGTTGAGTACACACATCACAAACAAGTTTCACAGAATGCTTCTTTCTAGCTTGTAGGGGAAGATATTCCCTTTATGACCATGGGCCTCAAACCGTCCGAAACGTCCACTTTTATATACTACAAAAAGAGCGTTTCAAACCTGCTCTATGAAAGGCAATGTTCAACTCTGTGACTTGAATGCAGACATCACAGAGCAGTTTCTGAGAATGCTTCTGTCTAGATTTTATAGGAAGATATTCCCGTTTCCAACGAAATCTTCACAGCTATCCAAATATCCACTTGGAGATTCTACAAAAAGAGTGTATCAAAACTGCTCTGTCAAAAAGAAGGTTCTTCTCTGTTAGTTGAGTACATACGTCATAAAGGAGTTTCTGAGAATGTTTCTGTCTAGTGGTTATGGGAAGATATTTGCTTTTTCCCCGTAGGCCACAGAGCGCTCCAAATATCCACTTGCACATACTACAAAAAGAGTGCTTCAAAGCTGCTCTCTGAAAGGGAATGTTCAACTCCATGAGTTGAATGCAAACATCACAAAGACGTTTCTGAGAATGTTTCTGTCTAGATTTGATATGAAGATATTCCCGTTTCCAACGAAATCTTCAAATCTATCCAAATGTCCACTTGCAGATTCAACAAAAAGTGTTATTCAGAACTGCTCTATCAAAAGAAAGATCCACCTCTGTTAGCTGAGTTCACACATCACAAACAAGTTTATGAGAATGCTTCTGTCTAGTTTTTATTTGAAGATATTTCCTTTCTCACCATGGAGCTGAAAGCTGTCCTAATGTTCACTTCCAGATACTACAGAAAGAGTGTTTCAAAACTGCTGTACGAAAGGGAATGTTCAACTCTGTGACTTGAATGCACACATCACAAAGAAGTTTCTGAGGATGCTGCTGTCTACTTTTTATACGTAATCCCGTTTCCAACGAAATCCTCCAAGCTATCCAAATATCTACTTGCAGATTCCACAGAAAGACTATTTCAAAACTGCTCTGTCAATAGAAAGGTTCAACTCTGTTAGCTGCGTGCATATATCCCAAAGAAGATTCTGAGATTGCTTCTGTCTAGTTTTTATGGGAAGATATTTCCCTTTTCACCGTAGGCGTCAAGGCGCTCCAAATGTCCACTTCCAGATATTACAAAAAGAGTGTTTCAAACCTACTCTGTGAAAGGGAATATTCAACTCTGTGACTTGAATGCACATATCACAAACAAGTTTCTGAGAATGCTTCTGTCGAGATTTTATATGAAGATATTCCCGTGTCCAACGAAATCCTGAAATCTATCCAAATATCCCCTTGCAGATTCTACAAAAAGAGTGTTTCAAAACTGCTCTGTAAAAAGAAAGGTTCAACTCTGTTAGTTGAGTACACACATCACAAACAAGTTTCACACAATGCTTCTTTCTAGCTTGTAGGGGAAGATATTTCCTTTATCACCATGGGCCTCAAACCGTCCGAAACGTCCACTTCCATATACTAAAAAAAGAGTGTTTGAAACCTGCTCTATGAAAGGCAATGTTCAACTCTGTGACTTGAATGCAGACATCACAGAGCAGTTTCTGAGAATGCTTCTGTCCAGACTTTATAGGAAGATATTCCCGATTCCAAAGAAATCTTCACAGCTATCCAAATATCCACTTGCAGATACTACAAAAAGAGTGTATCAAAAAAGCTCTGTCAAAAGGAAAGTTCTTTTCTGCTAGTTGAGTACATACGTCATAAAGAAGTTTCTGAGAATGTTTCTGTCTAGTGGTTATGGGAAGATATTTGCTTTTTCACCGTAGGCCTCAGAGCGCTCCAAATATCCCCTTGCACATACTACAAAAAGAGTGCTTCAAAGCTGCTCTCTGAAAGGGAATGTTCAAATACTGTGAGTTGAATGCAAACATCACAAAGACGTTTCTGAGAATGCTTTCCTGTCTAGATTTGATATGAAGATATTCCCGTTTCCAACGAAATCTTCAAATCTATCCAAATGTCCACTTGCAGATTCAACAAAAAGTGTTTTTCAGAACTGCTCTATCAAAAGAAAGATCCACCTCTGTTAGCTGAGTTCACACATCACAAACAAGTTTATGAGAATGCTTCTGTCTACTTTTTATTTGAAGATATTTCCTTTCTCACCATAGACCTGAAATCTGTCCTAATGTTCACTTCCAGATACTACAGAAAGAGTGTTTCAAAACTGCTGTACGAAAGGGAATGTTCAACTCTGGGACTTGAATGCATACATCACAAAGAAGTTTCTGAGGATGCTGCTGTCTACTTTTTATACGTAATCCCGTTTCCAAAGAAATCCTCCAAGCTATCCAAATATCCACTTGCAGATTCCACAGAAAGACTGTTTCAAAACTGCTCTGTCAATAGAAAGGTTCAACTCTGTTAGCTGCGTGCATATATCCCAAAGAAGATTCTGAGATTGCTTCTGTCTAGTTTTTATGGGAAGATATTTCCCTTTTCACTTTAGGTGTCAAGGCGCTCCAAATGTCCACTTACAGATACTACAAAAAGAGTGTTTCAAACCTACCCTGTGAAAGGGAATATTCAACTCTGTGACTTGAATGCAGATATCACAATGAAGTTTCTGAGAATGCTTCTGTCGAGATTTTATATGAAGATATTCCCGTTTCCAACGAAATCCTGAAATCTATACAAATATCCCCTCGCAGATTCTACAAAAAGAGTGTTTCAAAACTGCTCTGTAAAAAGAAAGGTTCAACTCTGTTACTTGAGTACACACATCACAAACAAGTTTCACAGAATGCTTCTTTCTAGCTTGTAGGGGAAGATATTCCCTTTATCACCATCGGCCTCAAACCGTCTGAAACGTCCACTTCCATATACTACAAAAAGAACATTTCAAACCTGCTCTATGAAAGGCAATGTTCAACTCTGTGACTTGAATGCAGACATCACAGAGCAGTTTCTGAGAATGCTTCTGTCTAGATTTTATAGGAAGATATTCCCGTTTCCAACGAAATCTTCACAGCTATCCAAATATCCACTTGCAGATTCTACAAAAAGAGTGTATCAAAACTGCTCTGTCAAAAGGAAGGTTCTTTTCCGTTAGGTGAGTGCATACATCATAAAGGAGTTTCTGAGAATGTTTCTGTCTAGTGGTTATGGGAAGATATCTGCTTTTTCCCCGTAGGCCTCAGGGCGCTCCAAATGTCCACTTGCACATGCTACAAAAAGAGTGCTTCAAAGCTGCTCTCTGAAAGGGAATGTTCAACTCTATGAGTTGAATGCAAACATCACAAAGACGTTTCTGAGAATGCTTCTGTCTAGATTTGATATGAATATATTCCCGTTTCCAACGAAATCTTCATATCTATCCAAATGTCCACTTGCAGATTCAACAAAATGTGTTTTTCAAAACTGCTGTATCAAAAGAAAGATCCACGTCTGTTAGCTGAGTTCACACATCACAAACAAGTTTATGAGAATGCTTCTGTCTAGTTTTTATTTGAAGATATTTCCTTTCTCACCATAGACCTGAAAGCTGTCCTAATGTTCACTTCCAGATACTACAGAAACAGTGTTTCAAAACTGCTCTATGAAAGGGAATGTTCAACTCTGTGACTTGAATGCACACATCACAAAGAAGTTTCTGAGGATGCTGCTGTCTACTTTTTGTACGTAATCCCGTTTCCAACGAAATCCTCCAAGCTATCCAAATATCCACTTGCAGATTCCACAGAAAGACTGTTTCAAAACTGCTCTGTCAATAGAAAGGTTCAACTCTGTTAGCTGCGTGCATATATCCCAGAGAAGATTCTGAGATTGCTTCTGTCTAGTTTTTATGGGAAGATATTTCCCTTTTCACCGTAGGTGTCAAGGCGCTCCAAATGTCCACTTCCAGATACTACAAAAAGAGTGTTTCAAACCTACTCTGTGAAAGGGAATATTCAACTCTCTGACTTGAATGCAGATATCACAAAGAAGTTTCTGAGAATGCTTCTGTCGAGTATTTTATATGAAGATATTCCCGTTTCCAAAGAAATCCTGAAATCTATCCAAATATCCCCTCGCAGATTCTACAAAAAGAGTGTTTCAAAACTGCTCTGTAAAAAGAAAGGTTCAACTCTGTTAGTTGAGTACACACATCACAAACAAGTTTCACAGAATGCTTCTTTCTTGCTTCTAGGGGAAGATATTTCCTTTATCACCATGGGCCTCAAACCGTCCGAAACGTCCACTTCCATATAGTAAAAAAAGAGTGTTTTAAACCTGCTCTATGAAAGGCAATGTTCAACTCTGTGACCTGAATGCAGACATCACAGAGCAGTTTCTGAGAATGCTTCTGTCCAGACTTTATAGGAAGATATTCCCGATTCCAACGAAATCTTCACAGCTAATCAAATATCCACATGCAGATACTACAAAAAGAGTGTATCCAAAAAGCTGTGTCAAAAGGAAAGTTCTTCTCTGCTAGTTGAGTACATACGTCATAAAGAAGTTTCTGAGAATGTTTCTGTCTAGTGGTTATGGGAAGATATTTGATTTTTCACCTTAGGCCTCAGAGCGCTCCAAATATCCCCTTGCACATACTACAAAAAGAGTGCTTCAAAGCTGCTCTCTGAAAGGGAATGTTCAACTCTATGGGTTGAATGCAAACATCACAAAGACGTTTCTGAGAATGCTTCTGTCTAGATTTGATATGAAGATATTCCCGTTTCCAACGAAATCTTCAAAACTATCCAAATGTCCACTTGCAGATTCAACAAAAAGTGTTTTTCAGAACTGCTCTATCAAAAGATAGATCCACCTCTGTTAGCTGAGTTCATACATCACAAACAAGTTTATGAGAATGCTTCTGTCTAGTTTTTATTTGAAGATATTTCCTTTCTCACCATAGACCTGAAAGCTGTCCTAATGTTCACTTCCAGATACTACAGAAAGAGTGTTTCAATACTGCTGTACGAAAGGGAATGTTCAACTCTGTGACTTGAATGCACACATCACAAAGAAGTTTCTGAGGATGCTGCTGTCTACTTTTTATACGTAATCCCTTTTCCAACGAAATCCTCCAAGCTATCCAAATATCCACTTGCAGATTCCACAGAAAGACTGTTTCAAAACTGCTCTGTCAATAGAAAGGTTCAACTCTGTTAGCTGCGTGCATATATCCCAAAGAAGATTCTGAGATTGCTTCTGTCTAGTTTTTATGGGAAGATATTTCCCTTTTCACCGTAGGTGTCAAGGCGCTCCAAATGTCCACTTCCAGATACTACAAAAAGAGTGTTTCAAACCTACTGTGTGAAAGGGAATATTCAACTCTGTGACTTGAAGGCAGATATCACAAAGAAGTTTCTGAGAATGCTTCTGTCGAGATTTTATATGAAGATATTCCCGTTTCCAACGAAATCCTGAAATGTATCCAAATATCCCCTCGCAGATTCTACAAAAAGAGTGTTTCAAAACTGCTCTGTAAAAAGAAAGGTTCAACTCTGTTAGTTGAGTACACACATCACAAACAAGTTTCACACAATGCTTCTTTCTAGCTTGTAGGGGATGATATTCCCTTCATCACCATGGGCCTCAAAACGTCCGAAACGTCCACTTCCATATACTACAAAAAGAGCGTTTCAAACCTGCTCTAGTTAAGGCAATGTTCAACTCTGTGACTTGAATGCAGACATCACAGAGCAGTTCCTGAGAATGCTTCTGTCTAGATTTATAGGAAGATATTCCCGTTTCCAACGAAATCTTCACAGCTATCCAAATATCCACTTGCAGATTCTACAAAAAGAGTGTATCAAAACTGCTCTGTCAAAAGGAAGGTTCTTTTCTGTTAGGTGAGTGCATACGTCATAAAGGAGTTTCTGAGAATGTTTCTGTCTAGTGGTTATGGGAAGATATTTGCTTTTTCCCCGTAGGCCTCAAAGCGCTCCAAATATCCACTTGCACATACTACAAAAAGAGTGTTTCAAAGCTGCTCTCTGAAAGGGAATGTTCAACTCTATGAGTTGAATGCAAACATGACAAAGACGTTTCTGACAATGCTTCTGTCTAGATTTGATATGAAGATATTCCCGTTTCCAACGAAATCTTCAAATCTATCCAAATGTCCACTTGCAGATTCAACAAAAAGTGTTTTTCAGAACTGCTCTATCAAAAGAAAGATCCACCTCTGTTAGCTGAGTTCACACATCACAAACAAGTTTATGAGAATGCGTCTGTCTAGTTTTTATTTGAAGATGTTTCCTTTCTCACCATAGACTTGAAAGCTGTCCTAATGTTCACTTCCAGATACTACAGAAAGAGTGTTTCAAAACTGCTGTACGAAAGGGAATGTTCAACTCTGTGACTTGAATGCACACATCACAAAGAAGTTTCTGAGGATGCTGCTGTCTACTTTTTATACATAATCCCGTTTCCAACGAAATCCTCCAAGCTATCCAAATATCCACTTGCAGATTCCACAGAAAGACTGTTTCAAAACTGCTCTGTCAATAGAAAGGTTCAACTCTGTTAGCTGCGTGCATATATCCCAAAGAAGATTCTGAGATTGCTTCTGTCTAGTTTTGATGGGAAGATACTTCCCTTTTCACCGTAGGTGTCAAGGCGCTCCAAATGTCCACTTCCAGATACTACAAAAAGAGTGTTTCAAACCTACTCTGTGAAAGGGAATATTCAACTCTGTGACTTGAATGCACATATCACAAAGAAGTTTCTGAGAATGCTTTCTGTCGAGATTTTATATGAAGATATTCCCGTTTCCAACGAAATCCTGAAATGTATCCAAATATCCCCGCGCAGATTCTACAAAAAGAGTGTTTCAAAACTACTCTGTAAAAAGAAAGGTTCAACTCTGTTAGTTGAGTACACACATCACAAACAAGTTTCACACAATGCTTCTTTCTAGCTTGTAGGGGAAGATATTTCCTTTATCACCATGGGCCTCAAACCGTGTGAAACGTCAACTTCCATATACTACAAAAAGAGCGTTTCAAACCTGCTCTATGAAAGGCAATGTTCAACTCTGTGACTTGAATGCAGACATCACAGAGCAGTTTCTGAGAATGCTTTTCTTTAGATTTTATAGGAAGATATTCCCGTTTCCAACGAATTCTTCACAGCTATCCAAATATCCAGTTGCAGATTCTACAAAAAGAGTGTATCAAAACTGCTCTGTCAAAAGGAAGGTTCTTCTCTGTTAGTTGAGTACATACGTCATAAAGAAGTTTCTGAGAATGTTTCTGTCTAGTGGTTATGGGAAGATATTTGCTTTTTCACCGTAGGCCTCAGAGCGCTCCAAATATCCACTTGCACATACTACAAAAAGAGTGCCTCAAAGCTGCTCTCTGAATCGGAATGTTCAACTCTATGAGTTGAATGCAAACATTACAACGACGTTTCTGAGAATGCTTCTGTCTAGATTTGATATGAAGATATTCCCGTTTCCAACGAAATCTTAAAATCTATCCAAATGTCCACTTGCAGATTCAACAAAAAGTGTTTTTCAGAACTGCTCTATCAAAAGAAAGATCCACCTCTGTAAGCTGAGTTCACACATCACAAACAAGTTTATGAGAATGCTTCTGTCTAGTTTTTATTTGAAGATATTTCCTTTCTCACCACAGACCTGAAAGCTGTCCTAATGTTCACTTGCAGATACTACAGAAAGAGTGTTTCAAAACTGCTGTACGAAAGGGAATGTTCAACTTCTGTGACTTGAATGCACACATCACAAAGAAGTTTCTGAGGATGCTGCTGTCTACTTTTTATACGTAATCCCGTTTCCAACGAAATCCTCCAAGCTATCCAAATATCCACTTGCAGATTCCACAGAAAGACTGTTTCAAAACTGCTCTGGCAATAGAAAGGTTCAACTCTGTTAGCTGCGTGCATATATCCCAAAGAAGATTCTGAGATTGCTTCTGTCTAGTTTTTATGGGAAGATATTTCCCTTTTCACCGTAGGTGTCAAGACGCTCCAAATGTCCACTTCCAGATACTACAAAAAGAGTGTTTCAAACCTACTCTGTGAAAGGGAATATTCAACTCTGTGACTTGAATGCACATATCACAAGGAAGTTTCTGAGAATGCTTCTGTCGAGATTTTATATGAAGATATTCCCGTTTCCAACAAAATCCTGAAATCTATCCAAATATCCCCTCGCAGATTCTACAAAAAGAGTGTTTCAAAACTGCTATGTAAAAAGAAAGGTTCAACTCTGTTAGTTGAGTACACACATCACAAACAAGTTTCACAGAATGCTTCTTTCTAGCTTGTAGGGGAAGATATTCCCTTTATCACCATGGGCCTCAAACCGTCCGAAACGTCCACTTCCATATACTACAAAAAGAGCGTTTCAAACCTGCTCTACGAAAGGCAATGTTCAACTCTGTGACTTGAATGCAGACATCACAGAGCAGTTTCTGAGAATGCTTCTGTCTAGATTTTATAGGAAGATATTCCCGTTTCCAACGAAATCTTCACAGCTATCCAAATATCCACTTGCAGATTCTACAAAAAGAGTGTATCAAAACTGCTCAGTCAAAAGGAAGGTTCTTCTCTGTTAGGTGAGTGCATACGTCATAAAGGAGTTTCTGAGAATGTTTCTGTCTAGTGGTTATGGGAAGATATTTGCTTTTTCACCTTAGGCCTCAGAGCGCTCAAAATATCCCCTTGCACATACTACAGAAAGAGTGCTTCAAAGCTGCTCTCTGAAACGGAATGTTCAACTCTATGGGTTGAATGCAAACATCACAAAGACGTTTCTGAGAATGCTTCTGTCTAGATTTGATATGAAGATATTCCCGTTTCCAACGAAATCTTCAAATCTATCCAAATGTCCACTTGCAGATTCAACAAAAAGTGTTTTTCAAAACTGCTATATCAAAAGAAAGATCCACGTCTGTTAGCTGAGTTCACACATCACAAACAAGTTTATGAGAATGCTTCTGTCTAGTTTTTATGTGAAGATATTTCCTTTCTCACGATAGACCTGAAAGCTGTCCTAATGTTCACTTCCAGATACTACAGAAAGAGTGTTTCAAAACTGCTGTACGAAAGGGAATGTTCAACTCTGTGTCTTGAATGCACACATCACAAGGAAGTTTCTGAGGATGCTGCTAATTTTTATACGTAATCCCGTTACCAACGAAATCCTCCAAGCTATCTAAATATCCACTTGCAGATTCCACAGAAAGACTGTTTGAAAACTGCTCTGTCAATAGAAAGGTTCAACTCTGTTAGCTGCGTGCATATATCCCAAAGAAGATTCTGAGATTGCTTCTGTCTAGTTTTTATGGGAAGATATTTCCCTTTTCACCGTAGGCGTCAAGGCGCTCCAAATGTCCACTTCCAGATAGTACAAAAAGAGTGTTTCAAACTTACTCTATGAAAGGGAATATTCAACTCTGTGACTAGAATGCACATATCACAAAGAAGTTTCTGAGAATGCATCTGTCGAGATTTTATTTGAAGATATTCCCGTTTCCAACGAAATCCTGAAATCTATCCAAATATCCCCTCGCAGATTCTACAAAAAGAGTGTTTCAAAACTGCTCTGTAAAAAGAAAGGTTCAACTCTGTTAGTTGAGTACACACATCACAAACAAGTTTCACAGAATGCTTCTTTCTAGCTTGTAGGGGAAGATATTCCCTTTATCACCATGGGCCTCAAACCGTCCGAAACGTCAACTTCCATATACTACAAAAAGAGCGTTTCAAACCTGCTCTATGAAAGGCAATGTTCAACTCTGTGACTTGAATGCAGACATCACAGAGCAGTTTCTGAGAATGCTTCTGTCTAGATTTTATAGGAAGATATTCCCGTTTCCAACGAAATCTTCACAGCTATCCAAATATCCACTTGCAGATTCTATAAAAAGAGTGTATCAAATCTGCTCTGTCAAAAGGAAGGTTCTTCTCTGTTAGGTGAGTGCATACGTCATAAAGGAGTTTCTGAGAATGTTTCTGTCTAGTGGTTATGCGAAGATATTTGCTTTTTCACCGTAGGCCTCAGAGCGCTCCAAATATCCCCTTGCACATACTACAAAAAGAGTGCTTCAAAGCTGCTCTCTGAAAGGGAATGTTCAACTATATGAGTTGAATGCAAACATCACAAAGACGTTTCTGGGAATGATTCTGTCTAGATTTGATATGAAGATATTCCCGTTTCCAATGAAATCTTCAAATCTATCCGAATGTCCACTTGCAGATTCAACAAAAAGTGTTTTTCAGAACTGCTCTATCAAAAGAAAGATCCACCTCTGTTAGCTGAGTTCACACATCACCAAACAAGTTTATGAGAATGCTTCTGTCTAGTTTTTATTTGAAGATATTTCCTTTCTCACCATAGACCTGAAAGCTGTCCTAATGTTCACTCCCAGATACTACAGAAAGAGTGTTTCAAAACTGCTGTACGAAAGGGAATGTTCAACCCTGTGACTTGAATGCACACATCACAAAGAAGTTTCTGAGGATGCTGCTGTCTACTTTTTATACGTAATCCCGTTTCCAACGAAATCCTCCAATCTATCCAAATATCCACTTGCAGATTCCACAGAAAGACTGTTTCAAAACTGCTCTGTCAATAGAAAGGTTCAACTCTGTTAGCTGCGTGCATATATCCCAAAGAAGATTCTGAGATTGCTTCTGTCTAGTTTTTATGGGAAGATATTTCCCTTTTCACCGTAGGCGTCAAGGCGCTCCAAATGTCCACTTCCAGATACTACTAAAAGAGTGTTTCAAACCTACTCTGTGAAAGGGAATATTCAACTCTGTGACTTGAATGCACATATCACAAAGAATTTTCTGAGAATGCTTCTGTCGAGATTTTATATGAAGATATTCCGGTTTCCAACGAAATCCTGAAATCTATCCAAATATCCCCTCGCAGATTCTACAGAAAGAGTGTTTCAAAACTGCTCTGTAAAAAGAAAGGTTCAACTCTGTTAGTTGAGTACACACATCACAAACAAGTTTCACAGAATGCTTCTTTCTAGCTTGTAGGGGAAGATATTCCCTTTATCACCATGGGCCTCCAACCGTCCGAAACATCCACTTCCATATACTACAAAAAGAGCGTTTCAAACCGGCTCTATGAAAGGCAATGTTCAACTCTGTGACTTGAATGCAGACATCACAGAGCAGTTTCTGAGAATGCTTCTGTCTAGATTTTATAGGAAGATATTCCCGTTTCCAACGAAATCTTCACAGCTATCCAAATATCCACTTGCAGATTCTACAAAAAGAGTGTATCAAAACTGCTCAGTCAAAAGGAAGGTTCTTCTCTGTTAGGTGAGTGCATACGTCATAAAGGGGTTTCTGAGAATGTTTCTGTCTAGTGGTTATGGGAAGATATTTGCTTTTTCACCTTAGGCCTCAGAGCGCTCAAAATATCCCCTTGCACATACTACAAAAAGAGTGCTTCAAAGCTGCTCTCTGAAACGGAATGTTCAACTCTATGGGTTGAATGCAAACATCACAAAGACGTTTCTGAGAATGCTTCTGTCTAGATTTGATATGAAGATATTCCCGTTTCCAACGAAATCTTCAAATCTATCCAAATGTCCACATGCAGACTCAACAAAAAGTGTTTTTCAAAACTGCTGTATCAAAAGAAAGATCCACGTCTGTTAGCTGAGTTCACACATCACAAACAAATTTATGAGAATGCTTCTGTCTAGTTTTTATTTGAAGTTATTTCCTTTCTCACCATAGACCTGAAAGCTGTCCTAATGTTCACTTCCAGATACTACAGAAAGAGTGTTTCAAAACTGCTGTACGAAAGGGAATGTTCAACTCTGTGACTTGAATGCACACATCACAAAGAAGTTTCTGAGGATGCTGCTGTCTACTTTTTATACGTAATCCCGTTTCCACCGAAATCCTCCAAGCTATCCAAATATCCACTTGCAGATTCCACAGAAAGACTGTTTCAAAACTGCTCTGTCAATAGAAAGGTTCAACTCTGTTAGCTGCGTGCATATATCCCAAAGAAGATTCTGAGATTGCTTCTGTCTAGTTTTTATGGGAAGATATTTCCCTTTTCACCGTAGGTGTCAAGGCGCTCCAAATGTCCACTTCCAGATACTACAAAAAGAGTGTTTCAAACCTACTCTGTCAAAGGGAATATTCAACTCTGTGACTTGAATGCAGATATCACAAAGAAGTTTCTGAGAATGCTTCTGTCGAGATTTTATATGAAGATATTCCCGTTTCCAATGAAATCCTGAAATCTATCCAAATATCCCCTCGCAGATTCTACAAAAAGAGTGTTTCAAAACTGCTCTGTAAAAAGAAAGGTTCAACTCTGTTAGTTGAGTACACACATCACAAACAAGTTTCACAGAATGCTTCTTTCTAGCTTGTAGGGGAAGATATTCCCTTTATGACCATGGGCCTCCAACCGTCCGAAACATCCACTTCCATATACTACAAAAAGAGCGTTTCAAACCTGCTCTATGAAAGGCAATGTTCAACTCTGTGACTTGAATGCAGACATCACAGAGCAGTTTCTGAGAATGCTTCTGTCTAGATTTTATAGGAAGATATTCCCGTTTCCAACGAAATCTTCACAGCTATCCAAATATGCACTTGCAGATTCTACAAAAAGAGTGTATCAAAACTGCACTGTCAAAAAGAAGGTTCTTCTCTGTTAGTTGAGTACATACGTCATAAAGGAGTTTCTGAGAATGTTTCTGTCTAGTGGTTATGGGAAGATATTTGCTTTTTCACCGAAGGCCTCAGAGCGCTCCAAATATCCACTTGCACATACTACAAAATGAGTGCCTCAAAGCTGCTCTCTGAAACGGAATGTTCAACTCTATGAGTTGAATGCAAACATCACAAAGACGTTTTCGAGAATGCTTCTGTCTAGATTTGATATATAGATATTCCCGTTTCCAAAGAAATCTTCAAATCTATCCAAATGTCCACTTGCAGATTCAACAAAAAGTGTTTTTCAGAACTGCTCTATCAAAAGAAAGATCCACCTCTGTTAGCTGAGTTCACACATCACAAACAAGTTTATGAGAATGCTTCTGTCTAGTTTTTATTTGAAGATATTTCCTTTCTCACCATAGACCTGAAAGCTGTCCTAATGTTCACTTCCAGATACTACAGAAAGAGTGTTTCAAAACTGCTTTACGAAAGGGAATGTTCAACTCTGTGACTTGAATGCACACATCACAAAGAAGTTTCTGAGGATGCTGCTGTCTACTTTTTATACGTAATCCCATTTCCAACGAAATCCTCCAAGCTATCCAAATATCCACTTGCAGATTCCACAGAAAGACTGTTTCAAAACTGCTCTGTCAATAGAAAGGTTCAACTCTGTTAACTGCGTGCATATATCCCAAAGAAGATTCTGAGATTGCTTCTGTCTAGTTTTTATGGGAAGATATTTCCCTTTTCACCGTGGGCCGTCAAGGCGCTCCAAATGTCCACTTCCAGATACTACAAAAAGAGTGTTTCAAACCTACTCTGTGAAAGGGAATATTCAACTCTGTGACTTGAATGCACATATCACAAGGAAGTTTCTGAGAATGCTTCTGTCGAGATTTTATATGAAGATATTCCCGTTTTCAACGAAATCCTGAAATCTATCCAAATATCCCCTCGCAGATTCTACAAAAAGAGTGTTTCCAAACTGCTCTGTAAAAAGAAAGGTTCAACACTGTTAGTTGAGTACACACATCGCAAGCATGTTTCACAGAATGCTTCTTTCTAGCTTGTAGGGGAAGATATTCCCTAAATCACCATGGGCCTCAAACCGTCCGAAACGTCCACTTCCATATACTACAAAAAGAGTGTTTCAAACCTGCTCTATGAAAGGCAATGTTCAACTCTGTGACTTGAATGCAGACATCACAGAGCAGTTTCTGAGAATGCTTCTGTCTAGATTTTATAGGAAGTTATTCCCGTTTCCAACGAAATCTTCACAGGTATCCAAATATCCACTTGCAGATTCTACAAAAAGAGTGTATCAAAACTGCTCTGTCAAAAGGAAGGTTCTTCTCTGTTAGGTGAGTGCATACGTCATAAAGGAATTTCTGAGAATGTTTCTGTCTAGTGGTTATGGGAAGATATTTGCTTTTTCACCGTAGGCCTCAGAGCGCTCCAAATATCCCCTTGCACATACTACAAAAAGAGTGCTTCAAAGCTGCTCTCTGAAACGGAATGTTCAACTCTATGAGTTGAATGCAAACATCACAAAGACGTTTACTGAGAATGCTTCTGTCTAGTTTTTATTTGAAGATATTTCCTTTCTCACCATAGAGCTGAAAGCTGTCCTAATGTTCACTTCCAGATACTACAGAAAGAGTGTTTCAAAACTGCTGTACAAAAGGGAATGTTCAACTCTGTGACTTGAATGCACACATCACAAAGAAGTTTCTGAGGATGCTGCTGTCTACTTTTTATACGTAATCCCGTTTCCAACGAAATCCTCCAAGCTATCCAAATATCCACTTGCGGATTCCACAGAAAGACTGTTTCAAAACTGCTCTGTCAATAGAAAGGTTCAACTCTGTTAGCTGCGTGCATATATCCCAAAGAAGATTCTGAGATTGCTTCTGTCTAGTTTTTATGGGAAGATATTTCCCTTTTCACGGTAGGTGTCAAGGCGCTCCAAATGTCCACTTCCAGATACTACAAAAAGAGTGTTTCAAACCTACTCTGTGAAAGGGAATATTCAACTCTGTGACTTGAATGCAGATATCACAAAGAAGTTTCTGAGAATGCTTCTGTCGAGATTTTATATGAAGATATTCCCGTTTCCAACGAAATCCTGAAATCTATCCAAATATCCCCTCGCAGATTCTACAAAAAGAGTGTTTCAAAACTGCTCTGTAAAAAGAAAGGTTCAACTCGGTTAGTTGAGTACACACATCACAAACAACTTTCACAGAATGCTTCTTTCTAGCTTGTAGGGGAAGATATTCCCTTTATCACCATGGGCCTCCAACCGTCCGAAACATCCACTTCCATATACTACAAAAAGAGCGTTTCAAACCTGCTCTATGAAAGGTAATGTTCAACTCTGTGACTTGAATGCAGACATCACAGAGCAGTTTCTGAGAATGCTTCTGTCTACATTTTATAGGAAGATATTCCCGTTTCCAACGAAATCTTCACAGGTATCCAAATATCCACTTGCAGATTCTACAAAAAGAGTGTATCAAAACTGCTCTGTCAAAAGGAAGGTTCTTCTCTGTTAGGTGAGTGCATACATCATAAAGGAGTTTCTGAGAATGTTTCTGTCTAGTGGTTATGGGAAGATATTTGCTTTTTCCCCGTAGACCTCAGAGCGCTCCAAATGTCCACTTGCACATGCTACAAAAAGAGTGCTTCAAAGCTGCTCTCTGAAAGGGAATGTTCAACTCTATGAGTTGAATGTAAACATCACAAAGACGTTTCTGAGAATGCTTTCTGTCTAGATTTGATATGAAGATATTCCCGTTTCCAACGAAATCTTCAAATCTATCCAAATGTCCACTTGCAGATTCAACAAAAAGTGTTTTTCAAAACTCCTGTATCAAAAGAAAGATCCACGTCTGTTAGCTGAGTTCACACATCACAAACAAGTTTAGGAGAATGCTTCTGTCTAGTTTTTATTTGAAGATATTTCCTTTCTCACCATAGAGCTGAAAGCTGTCCTAATGTTCACTTCCAGATACTACAGAAAGAGTGTTTCAAAACTGCTGTATGAAAGGGAATGTTCAACTCCTGTGACTTGAATGCACACATCACAAAGAAGTTTCTGAGGATGCTGCTGTCTACTTTTTATACGTAATCCCGTTTCCAACGAAATCCTCCAAGCTATCCAAATATCCACTTGGAGATTCCACAGAAAGACTGTTTCAAAACTGCTCTGTCAATAGAAAGGTTCAACTCTGTTAACTGCGTGCATATATCCCAAAGAAGATTCTGAGATTGCTTCTGTCTAGTTTTTATGGGAAGATATTTCCCTTTTCACCGTGGGCATCAAGGCGCTCCAAATGACCACTTCCAGATACTACAAAAAGAGTGTTTCAAACCTACTCTGTGAAAGGGAATATTCAAATCTCTGACTTGAATGCACATATCACAAAGAAGTTTCTGAGAATGCTTCTGTCGAGATTTTATATGAAGATATTCCTGTTTCCAACGAAATGCTGAAATCTATCCAAATATCCCCTCGCAGATTCTACAAAAAGAGTGTTTCAAAACTGCTCTGTGAAAAGAAAGGTTCAACTCTGTTAGTTGAGTACACACATCACAAACAAGTTTCACAGAATGCTTCTTTCTAGCTTGTAGGGGAAGATATTCCCTTTAACACCATGGGCCTCAAACCGTCTGAAACGTCCACTTCCATATACTAAAAAAGAGCGTTTCAAACCTGCTCTAGGAAAGGCAATGTTCAACTCTGTGACTTGAATGCAGACATCACAGAGCAGTTTCTGAGAATGCTTCTGTATAGATTTTATAGGAAGATATTCCCGTTTCCAACGAAATCTTCACAGCTATCCAAATATCCACTTGCAGATTCTATAAAAAGAGTGTATCAAAACTGCTCTGTCAAAAGGAAGGTTCTTCTCTGTTAGGTGAGTGCATACGTCATAAAGGAGTTTCTGAGAATGTTTCTGTCTAGTGGTTATGGGAAGATATTTGCTTTTTCACCTTAGGCCTCAGAGCACTCCAAATATCCCCTTGCACATACTATAAAAAGAGTGCTTCAAAGCTGCTCTCTGAAACGGAATGTTCAACTCTATGAGTTGAATGCAAACATGACAAAGACGTTTCCGAGAATGCTTCTGTCTAGATTTGATATAAAGATATTCCCGTTTCCAACGAAATCTTCAAATCTATCCAAATGTCCACTTGCAGATTCAACAAAAAGTGTTTTTCCGAACTGCTCTATCAAAAGAAAGATCCACCTCTGTTAGCTGAGTTCACACATCACAAACAAGTTTATGAGAATGCTTTCTGTCTAGTTTTTATTTGAAGATATTTCCTTTCTCACCATAGACCTGAAAGCTGTCCTAATGTTCACTTCCAGATACTACAGAAAGAGTGTTTCAAAACTGCTGTACGAAAGGGAATATTCAACTCTGTGACTTGAATGCACACATCACAAAGAAGTTTCTGAGGATGCTGCTGTCTACTTTTTATACGTAATCCCGTTTCCAACGAAATCCTCCAATCTATCCAAATATCCACTTGCAGATTCCACAGAAAGACTGTTTCAAATCTGCTCAGTCAATAGAATGGTTCAACTCTGTTAGCTGCGTGCATATATCCCAAAGAAGATTCTGAGATTGCTTCTGTCTAGTTTTTATGGGAAGATATTTCCCTTTTCACCGTAGGCGTCAAGGCGCTCCAAATGTCCACTTCCAGATACTAGAAAAAGAGTGTTTCAAACCTTCTCTGTGAAAGGGAACATTCAAATCTGTGACTTGAATGCACATATCACAAAGAAGTTTCTGAGAATGCTTCTGTCTAGATTTTATAGGAAGATATTCCCGTTTCCAACGAAATCCTGAAATCTATCCAAATATCCGCTCGCAGATTCTACAAAAAGAGTGTTTCAAAACTGCTCTGTGAAAAGAAATGTTCAACTCTGTTAGTTGAGTACACACATCACAAACAAGTTTCACAGAATGCTTCTTTCTAGCTTGTAGGGGAAGATATTCCCTTTATCACCATGGGCCTCAAACCGTCCGAAAAGTCCACTTCCATATACTACAAAAAGAGCATTTCAAACCTGCTCTATGAAAGGCAATGTTCAACTCTGTGACTTGAATGCAGACATCACAGAGCAGTTTCTGAGAATGCTTTCTGTCTAGTGGTTATGGGAAGATATTTGCTTTTTCACCGTAGGCCTCAGAGCGCTCCAAATATCCACTTGCACATACTATAAAAAGAGTGCCTCAAAGCTGCTCTCTGAAACGGAATGTTCAACTCTATGAGTTGAATGCAAACATCGCAAAGACGTTTCTGAGAATGCTTCTGTCTAGATTTGATATGAAGATATTCCCGTTTCCAACGAAATCTTCAAATCTATCCAAATGTCCACTTGCAGATTCAACAAAAAGTGGTTTTCAGAACTGCTCTATCAAAAGAAAGATCCACCTCTGTTAGCTGAGTTCACACATCACAAACAAGTTTATGAGAATGCTTCTGTCTAGTTTTTATTTGAAGATATTTCGTTTCTCACCATAGAGCTGAAAGCTGTCCTAATGTTCACTTCCAGATACTACAGAAAGAGTGTTTCAAAACTGCTGTACGAAAGGGAATGTTCAACTCTGTGACTTGAATGCACACATCACAAAGAAGTTTCTGAGGATGCTGCTGTCTACTTTTTATACGTAATCCCGTTTCCAACGAAATCCTCCAAGCTATCCAAATATCCACTTGCAGATTCTACAGAAAGACTGTTTCAAAACTGCTCTGTCAATAGAAAGGTTCAACTCTGTTAGCTGCGTGCATATATCCCAAAGAAGATTCCGAGATTGCTTCTGTCTAGTTTTTATGGGAAGATATTTCCCTTTTCACCGTAGGCGTCAAGGCGCTCCAAATGTCCACTTCCAGATACTACAAAAAGAGTGTTTCAAACCTACTCTGTGAAAGGGAATATTCAACTCTGTGACTTGAATGCACATATGACAAAGAAGTTTCTGAGAATGCTTCTGTCGAGATTTTATATGAAGATATTCCCGTTTCCAAAGAAATCCTGAAATCTATCCAAATATCCCCTCGCAGATTCTACAAAAAGAGTGTTTCAAAACTGCTCTGTAAAAAGAAAGGTTCAACCCTGTTAGTTGAGTACACACATCACAAACAAGTTTCACAGAATGCTTCTTTCTAGCTTGTAGGGGAAGATATTCCCTTTATCACCATGGGCCTCCAACCGTCCGAAACATCCACTTCCATATACTACAAAAAGAGCGTTTCACACCTGCTCTATGAAAGGCAATGTTCAACTCTGTGACTTGAATGCAGACATCTCAGAGCAGTTTCTGAGAATACTTCTGTCTAGATTTTATAGGAAGATATTCCCGTTTCCAACGAAATCTTCACAGCTATCCAAATATCCACTTGCAGATTCTACAAAAAGAGTGTATCAAAAGTGCTCTGTCAAAAGGAAGGTTCTTCTCTGTTAGGTGAGTGCATACGTCATAAAGGAGTTTCTGAGAATGGTTCTGTCTAGTGGTTATGGGAAGATATTTGCTTTTTCACCGTAGGCCTCAGAGCGCTCCAAATATCCACTTGCACATACTACAAAAAGAGTGCTTCAAAGCTGTTCTCTGAAACGGAATGTTCAACTCTATGAGTTGAATGCAAACATCACAAAGACGTTTCTGAGAATGCTTCTGTCTAGATTTGATATGAAGATATTCCCGTTTCCAACGAAATCTTCAAATCTATCCAAATGTCCACTTGCAGATTCAACAAAAAGTGTTTTTCAGAACTGCTCTATCAAAAGAAAGATCCACGTCTCTTAGCTGAGTTCACACATCACAAACAAGTTTATGAGAATGCTTCTGTCTACTTTTTATTTGAAGATATTTCCTTTCTCACCATAGACCTGAAAGCTGTCCTAATGTTCACTTCCAGATACTACAGAAAGAGTGTTTCAATACTGCTGTACGAAAGGGAATGTTCAACTCTGTGACTTGAATGCACACATCACAAAGTAAGTTTCTCAGGATGCTGCTGTCTACTTTTTATACGTAATCCCGTTTCCAACGAAATCCTCCAACTATCCAAATATCCGCTTGCAGATTCCACAGAAAGACTGTTTCAAAACTGCTCTGTCAATAGAAAGGTTCAACTCTGTTAGCTGCGTGCATATATCCCAAAGAAGATTCTGAAATTGCTTCTGTCTAGTTTTTATTGGAAGATATTTCCCTTTTCACCGTAGGCGTCATGGCGCTCCAAATGTCCACTTCCAGATACTACAAAAAGAGTGTTTCAAACCTACTCGGTGAAAGGGAATATTCAACTCTGTGACTTGAATGCAGTTATCACAAAGAAGTTTCTGAGAATGCTTCTGTCGAGATTTTATATGAAGATATTCCCGTTTCCAACGAAATGCTGAAATCTATCCAAATATCCCCTCGCAGATTCTACAGAAAGAGTGTTTCAAAACTGCTCTGTAAAAAGAAAGGTTCAACTCTGTTAGTTGAGTACACACATCACAAACAAGTTTCACAGAATGCTTCTTTCTAGCTTGTAGGGGAAGATATTCCCCAAATCACCATGGGCCTCAAACCGTCCGAAACGTCCACTTCCATATACTACAAAAAGAGTGTTTCAAACCTGCTCTATGAAAGGCAATGTTCAACTCTGTGACTTGAATGCAGACATCACAGAGCAGTTTCTGAGAATGCTTCTGTCTAGATTTTATAGGAAGATATTCCCGTTTCCAACGAAATCTTCACAGGTATCCAAATATCCACTTGCAGATTCTACAAAAAGAGTGTATCAAAACTGCTCTGTCAAAAGGAAGGTTCTTCTCTGTTACGTGAGTGCATACGTCATAAAGGAATTTCTGAGAATGTTCCTGTCTAGTGGTTATGGAGAAGATATTTGCTTTTTCCCCGTAGGCCTCAGAGCGCTCCAAATATCCACTTGCACATACTACAAAAAGAGTGCTTCAAAGCTGCTCTCTGAAAGGGAATGTTCAACTCGCTATGAGTTGAATGCAAACATCACAAAGACGTTTCTGAGAATGCTTCTGTCTAGATTTGATATGAAGATATTCCCGTTTCCAACGAAATCTTCAAATCTATCCAAATGTCCACTTGCAGATTCAACAAAAAGTGTTTTTCAAAACTGCTGTATCAAAAGAAAGATCCACGTCTGTTAGCTGAGTTCACACATCACAAACAAGTTTATGAGAATGCTTCCGTCTAGTTTTTATTTGAAGATATATCCTTTCTCACTATAGACCTGAAAGCTGTCCTAAAGTTCACTTCCAGATACTACAGAAAGAGTGTTTCAAAACTGCTGTACGAAAGGGAATGTTCAACTCTGTGACTTGAATGCACACATCACAAGGATGTTTCTGAGGATGCTGCTGTCTACTTTTTATACGTAATCCCGTTTCCAACGAAATCCTCCAATCTATCCAAATATCCACTTGCAGATTCCACAGAAAGACTGTTTCTAAACTGCTCTGTCAATAGAAAGGTTCAACTCTGTTAGCTGCGTGCATATATCCCAAAGAAGATTCTGAGATTGCTTCTGTCTAGTTTTTATGGGAAGATATTTCCCTTTTCACCGTAGGTGTCAAGGTGCTCCAAATATCCACTTCCAGATACTACAAAAAGAGTGTTTCAAACCTACTCTGTGAAAGGGAATATTCAACTCTGTGACTTGAATGCACATATCACAAAGAAGTTTCTGAGAATGCTTCTGTCGAGATTTTATATGAAGATATTCCCGTTTCCAACGAAATCCTGAAATCTATCCAAATATCCGCTCGCAGATTCTACAAAAAGAGTGTTTCAAAACTGCTCTGTGAAAAGCAAGGTTCAACTCTGTTAGTTGAGTACACACATCACAAACAAGTTTCACAGAATGCTTCTTTCTAGCTTGTAGGGGAAGATATTCCCTTTATCACCATGGGCCTCAAACCGTCGGAAACGTCCACTTCCATATACTACAAAAAGAGCGTTTCAAACCTGCTCTAGGAAAGGCAATGTTCAACTCTGTGACTTGAATGCAGACATCACAGAGCAGTTTCTGAGAATGCTTCTGTCTAGATTTTATAGGAAGATATTCCCGTTTCCAACGAAATCTTCACAGCTATCCAAATATCCACTTGCAGATTCTACAAAAAGAGTGTATCAAAACTGCTCTGTCAAAAGGAAGGCTCTTCTCTGTTAGGTGAGTGCATACGTCATAAAGGAGTTTCTGAGAATGTTTCTGTCTTGTGGTTATGGGAAGATATTTGCTTTTTCACCGTAGGCCTCAGAGCGCTCCAAATATCCACTTGCACATACTACAAAAAGAGTGCTTCAAAGCTGCTCTCTGAAAGGGAATGTTCAACTCTATGAGTTGAATGCAAACATCACAAAGACGTTTCTGAGAATGCTTCTGTCTAGTATTTGATATGAAGATATTCCCGTTTCCAACGAAATCTTCAAATCTATCCAAATGTCCACTTGCAGATTCAACAAAGTGTTTTTCAGAACTGCTCTATCAAAAGAAAGATCCACCTCTGTTAGCTGAGATCACACTTCACAAACAAGTTTATCAGAATGCTTCTGTCTAGTTTTTATTTGAAGATATTTCCTTTCTCACCATAGACCTGAAGGCTGTCCTAATGTTCACTTCCAGATACTACAGAAAGAGTGTTTCAAAACTGCTGTACGAAAGGGAATGTTCAACTCTGTGACTTGAATGCACACATCACAAAGAAGTTTCTGAGGATGCTGCTGTCTACTTTTTATACGTAATCCCGTTTCCAACGAAATCCTCCAAGCTATCCAAATATCTACTTGCAGATTCCACAGAAAGACTGTTTCAAAACTGCTCTGTCAATAGAAAGGTTCAACTCTATTAGCTGCGTACATATATCCCAAAGAAGATTCTGAGATTGCTTCTGTCTAGTTTTTATGGGAAGATATTTCCCTTTTCACCGTAGGTGTCAAGGCGCTGCAAATGTCCACTTCCAGATACTACAAAAAGAGTGTTTCAACCCTACTCTGTGAAAGGGAATATTCAACTCTGTGGCTTGAATGCAGATATCACAAAGAAGTTTCTGAGAATGCTTCTGTCGAGATTTTATATGAAGATATTCCCGTTTCCAACGAAATCCTGAAATCTATCCAAATATCCCCTCGCAGATTCTACAAAAAGAGTGTTTCAAAACTGCTCTGTAAAAAGAAAGCTTCAACTCTGTTAGTTGAGTACACACATCACAAACAAGTTTCACAGAATGCTTCTTTCTAGCTTGTAGGGGAAGATATTCCCTTTATCACCATGGGCCTCAAACCGTCCGAAACGTCTACTTCCATATACTACAAAAAGAGCGTTTCAAACCTGCTCTATGAAAGGCAATGTTCAACTCTGTGACTTGAATACAGACATCGCAGAGCAGTTCCTGAGAATGCTTCTGTCTAGATTTTATAGGAAGATATTCCCGTTTCCAACGAAATCTTCACAGCTATCCAAATATCCACTTGCAGATGCTACAAAAAGAGTGTATCAAAAATGCTCTGTCAAAAGGAAGGTTATTCTCTGTTAGGTGAGTGCATACGTCATAAAGGAGTTTCTGAGAATGTTTCTGTCTAGTGGTTATGGGAAGATATTTGCTTTTTCACCGTAGGCCTCAGAGCGCTCTAAATATCCACTTGCACATACTACAAAAAGAGTGCCTCAAAGCTGCTCTCTGAAACGGAATGTTCAACTCTATGAGTTGAATGCAAACATCGCAAAGACGTTTCTGAGAATGCTTCTGTCTAGATTTGATATGAAGATATTCCCGTTTCCAACGAAATCTTCAAATCTATCCAAATGTCCACTTGCAGATTCAACAAAATGAGTTTTTCAGAACTGCTCTATCAAAAGGGAAGATCCACCTCTGTTAGCTGAGTTCACACATCACAAACAAGTTTATGAGAATGCTTCTGTCTAGTTTTTATTTGAAGATATTTCCTTTCTCACCATAGACCTGAAAGCTGTCCTAATGTTTTCTTCCAGATACTACAGAAAGAGTGTTTCAAAACTGCTGTACGAAACGGGATGTTCAACTCTGTGACTTGAATGCACACTTCACAAAGAAGTTTCTGAGGATGCTGCTGTCTACTTTTTATACATAATCCCGTTTCCAACGAAATCCTCCAAGCTATCCAAATATCCACTTGCAGATTCCACAGAAAGAATGTTTCAAAACTGCTCTGTCAAGAGAAAGGTTCAACTCTGTTAGCTGCGTGCATATATCCCAAAGAAGATTCTGAGATTGCTTCTGTCTAGTTTTTATGGGAAGATATTTCCCTTTTCACCGTAGGCGTCAAGGCGCTCCAAATGTCCACTTCCAGATACTACAAAAAGAGTGTTTCAAACCTACTCCTGTGAAAGGGAATATTCAACTCCTGTGACTTGAATGCACATATCACAAGGAAGTTTCTGAGAATGCTTCTGTCGAGATTTTATATGAAGATATTCCCGTTTCCAACGAAATCCTGAAATCTATCCAAATATCCCCTCGCAGATTCTACAAAAAGAGTGTTTCAAAACTGCTCTGTAAAAAGAAAGGTTCAACTCTGTTAGTTGAGTACACACATCACAAACAAGTTTCACATAATGCTTCTTTCTAGCTTGTAGGGGAAGATATTCCCTTTATCACCATGGGCCTCAAACCGTCTGAAACGTCCACTTCCATATACTACAAAAAGAGCATTTCAAAGCTGCTCTGTGAAAGGCAATGTTCAACTCTGTGACTTGAATGCAGACATCACAGAGCAGTTTCTGAGAATGCTTCTGTCTAGATTTTATAGGATGATATTCCCGTTTCCAACGAAATCTTCACAGCTATCCAAATATCCACTTGCAGATTCTACAAAAAGAGTGTATCAAAACTGCTCTGTCAAAAGGAAGGTTCTTTTCTGTTAGGTGAGTGCATACGTCATAAAGGAGTTTCTGAGAATGTTTCTGTCTAGTGGTTATGGGAAGATATTTGCTTTTTCACCGTAGGCCTCAGAGCGCTCCAAATATCCACTTGCACATACTACAAAAAGAGTGCCTCAAAGCTGCTCTCTGAAACGGAATGTTCAACTCTATGAGTTGAATGCAAACATCGCAAAGACGTTTCTGAGATGCTTCTGTCTAGATTTGATATGAAGATATTCCCGTTTCCAACGAAATCTTCAAATCTATCCAACTGTCCTCTTGCAGATTCAACAAAAAGTGTTTTTCAGAACTGCTCTATCAAAAGAAAGATCCACGTGTGTTAGCTGAGTTCACACATCACGAACAAGTTTATGAGAATGCTTCTGTCTAGTTTTTATTTGAAGATATTTCCTTTCTCACCATAGACCTGAAAGCTGTCCTAATGTTCACTTCCAGATACTACAGAAAGAGTGTTTCCAAACTGCTGTACGAAAGGGAATGTTCAACTCTGTGACTTGAATGCACACATCACAAAGAAGTTTCTGAGGATGCTGCTGTCTACTTTTTATACGTAATCCCGTTTCCAACGAAATCCTCCAACTATCCAAATATCCACTTGCAGATTCCACAGAAAGACTGTTTCAAAACTGCTCTGTCAATAGAAAGGTTCAACTCTGTTAGCTGCGTGCATATATCCCAAAGAAGATTCTGAGATTGCTTCTGTCTAGTTTTAATGGGAAGATATTTCCCTTTTCACCGTAGGCGTCAAGGCGCTCCAAATGTCCACTTCCAGATACTACAAAAAGAGTGTTTCTAACCTACTCGGTGAAAGGGAATATTCAACTCTGTGACTTGAATGCAGATATCACAAAGAAGTTTCTGAGAATGCTTCTGTCGAGATTTTATATGAAGGTATTCCCGTTTCCAACGAAATCCTGAAATGTATCCAAATATCCCCTCGCAGATTCTACAAAAAGAGTGTTTCAAAACTGCTCTGTAAAAAGAAAGGTTCAACTCTGTTAGTTGAGTACACACATCACAAACAAGTTTCACAGAATGCTTCTTTCTAGCTTGTAGGGGAATATATTCCCTTTATCACCATGGGTCTCAAACCGTCCGAAACGTCCACTTCCATATACTACAAAAAGAGCGTTTCAAACCTGCTCTATGAAAGGCAATGTTCAACTCTGTGACTTGAATGCAGACATCACAGAGCAGTTTCTGAGAATGCTTCTGTCTAGATTTTATAGGAAGATATTCCCGTTTCCAACGAAATCTTCACAGCTATCCAAATATCCACTTGCAGATTCTACAAAAAAAGTGTATCAAAACTGCTCTGTCAAAAGGAAGGTTCTTCTCTGTTAGGTGAGTGCATACGTCATAAAGGAGTTTCTGAGAATGTTTCTGTCTAGTGGTTATGGGAAGATATTTGCTTTTTCACCGTAGGCCTCACAGCGCTCCAAATATCCCCTTGCACATACTACAAAAAGAGTGCTTCAAAGCTGCTCTCTGAAACGGAATGTTCAACTCTATGAGTTGAATGCAAACGTGACAAAGACGTTTCCGAGAATGCTTCTGTCTAGATTTGATATGAAGATATTCCCGTTTCCAACGAAATCTTCAAATCTATCCAAATGTCCACTTGCAGATTCAACAAATCGTGTTTTTCAGAACTGCTCTATCAAAAGAAAGATCCACCTTTGTTAGCTGAGTTCACACATCACAAACAAGTTGATGAGAATGCTTCTGTCTAGTTTTTATTTGAAGATATTTCCTTTCTCACCATAGACCTTAAAGCTGTCCTAATGTTCAGTTCCAGATACTACAGAAACAGTGTTTCAAAACTGCTGTACGAAAGGGAATGTTCAACTCTGTGACTTGAATGCACACATCACAAAGAAGTTTCTGAGGATGCTGCTGTCTACTTTTTATACATAATCCCGTTTCCAACGAAATCCTCCAAGCTATCCAAATATCCACTTGCAGATTCCACAGAAAGACTGTTTCAAATCTGCTCTGTCAACAGAAAGATTCAACTCTGTTAGCTGCGTGCATATATCCCAAAGAAGATTCTGAGATTGCTTCTGTCTAGTTTTTATGGGAAGATATTTCCCTTTTCACCGTAGGTGTCAAGGCGCTCCAAATGTCCACTTCCAGAAACTACAAAAAGAGTGTTTCAAACCTACTCTGTGAAAGGGAATATTCAACTCTGTGACTTGAATGCACATATCACAAAGAAGTTTCTGAGAATGCTTCTGTCGAGATTTTATATGAAGATATTCCCGTTTCCAAAGAAATGCTGAAATCTATCCAAATATCCCCTCGCAGATTCTACAAAAAGAGTGTTTCAAAACTGCTCTGTGAAAAGAAAGGTTCAACTCTCTTAGTTGAGTACACACATCACAAACAAGTTTCACAGAATGCTTCTTTCTAACTTGTAGGGGAAGATATTTCCTTTATCACCATGGGCCTCAAACCGTCCGAAACGTCCACTTCCATATACTAAAAAAAGAGTGTTTCAAACCTGCTCTATGAAAGGCAATGTTCAACTCTGTGACTTGAATGCAGACATCACAGAGCAGTTTCTGAGAATGCTTCTGTCTAGATTTTATAGGAAGATATTCCCGTTTCCAACGAAATCTTCACAGCTATCCAAATATCCACTTGCAGATTCTACAAAAAGAGTATATCAAAACTGCTCTGTCAAAAGGAAGGTTCTTCTCTGTTAGGTGAGTGCATACGTCATAAAGGAGTTTCTGAGAATGTTTCTGTCTAGTGGTTATGGGAAGATATTTGCTTTTTCACCGTAGGCCTCAGAGCGCTCCAAATATCCACTTGCACATACTACAAAAAGAGTGTTTCAAAGCTGCTCTCTGAAAGGGAATGTTCAACTCTATGAGTTGAATGCAAACGTGACAAAGACGTTTCTGAGAATGCTTCTGTCTAGATTTGATATGAAGATATTCCCGTTTCCAACGAAATCTTCAAATCTATCCAAATGTGCACTTGCAGATTCAACAAAAAGTGTTTTTCAGAACTGCTCTATCAAAAGAAAGATCCACCTCTGTTAGCTGAGTTCACACATCACAAACAAGTTTATGAGAATGCTTCTGTCTAGTTTTTATTTGAAGATATTTCCTTTCTCTCCATAGACCTGAAAGCTGTCCTAATGTTCACTTCCAGATACTACAGAAAGAGTGTTTCAAAACTGCTGTACGAAAGGGAATGTTCAACTCTGTGACTTGAATGCACACATCACAAAGAAGTTTCTGAGGATGCTGCTGTCTACTTATTATACGTAATCCCGTTTCCAACGAAATCCTCCAAGCTATCCAAATATCCACTTGCAGATTCCACAGAAAGACTGTTTCAAAACTGCTCTGTCAATAGAAAGGTTCAACTCTGTAAGCTGCGTGCATATATCCCAAAGAAGATTCTGAGATTGCTTCTGTCTACTTTTTATGAGAAGGTATTTCCCTTTTCAACGTAGGCGTCAAGGCGCTCCAAATGTCCACTTCCAGATACTACAAAAAGAGTGTTTCAAACCTACTCTGTGAAAGGGAATATTCAACTCTGTGACTTGAATGCACATATCACAAAGAAGCTTCTGAGAATGCTTCTGTCGAGATTTTTTATGAAGATATTCCCGTTTCCAACGAAATGCTGAAATGTATCCAAATATCCCCTCGCAGATTCTACAAAAAGAGTGTTTCAAAACTGCTCTGTAAAAAGAAAGGTTCAACTCTGTTAGTTGAGTACACACATCACAAACAAGTTTCACAGAATGCTTCTTTCTAGCTTGTAGGGGAAGATATTCCCTTTATCACCATGGGCCTCAAACCGTCCGATAAGTCCACTTCCATATACTACAAAAAGAGCGTTTCAAACCTGCTCTATGAAAGGCAATGTTCAACTCTGTGACTTGAATGCAGACAACACAGAGCAGTTTCTGAGAATGCTTCTGTCTAGATTTTATAGGAAGATATTCCCGTTTCCAACGAAATCTTCACAGCTATCCAAATATCCACTTGCAGATTCTACAAAAAGAGTGTATCAAAACTGCTCTGTCAAAAGGAAGGTTCTTCTCTGTTAGGTGAGTGCATACCTCATAAAGGAGTTTCTGAGAATGTTTCTGTTAGTGGTTATGGGAAGATATTTGCTTTTTCACCGTAGGCCTCTGAGCGCTCCAAATATCCACTTGCACATACTACAAAAAGAGTGCCTCAAAGCTGCTCTCTGAAACGGAATGTTCAACTCTATGAGTTGAATGCAAACATTGCAAAGACGTTTCTGAGAATGCTTCTGTCTAGATTTGATATGAAGATATTCCCGTTTCCAACGAAATCTTCAAATCTATCCAAATGTCCACTTGCAGATTCAACAAAGTGTTTTTCAGAACTGCTCTATCAATAGAAAGATCCACCTCTGTTAGCTGAGATCACACTTCACAAACAAGTTTATCAGAATGCTTCTGTCTAGTTTTTATTTGAAGATATTTCCTTTCTCACCATAGACCTGAAAGCTGTCCTAATGTTCACTTCCAGATACTACAGAAAGAGTGTTTCAAAACTGCTGTACGAAAGGGAATGTTCAACCCTGTGACTTGAATGCACACATCACAAGGAAAGTTTCTGAGGAGGCTGCTGTCTACTTTTTATACGTAATCCCGTTTCCAACGAAATCCTCCAAGCTATCCAAATATCCACTTGCAGATTCCACAGAAAGACTGTTTCAAAACTGCTCTGTCAATAGAAAGGTTCAACTCCGTTAGCTGCGTGCATATATCCCAAAGAGGATTCTGAGATTGCTTCTGTCTAGTTTTTATGGGAAGATATTTCCCTTTTCACCGTAGGCGTCATGGCGCTCCAAATGTCCACTTCCAGATACTACAAAAAGAGTGTTTCAAACCTACTCGGTGAAAGGGAATATTCAACTCTGTGACTTGAATGCAGTTATCACAAAGAAGTTTCTGAGAATGCTTCTGTCGAGATTTTATATGAAGATATTCCCGTTTCCAACGAAATGCTGGAATCTATCCAAATATCCCCTCGCAGATTCTACAAAAAGAGTGTTTCAAAACTGCTCTGTAAAAAGAAAGGTTCAACTCTGTTAGTTGAGTACACACATCACAAACAAGTTTCACACAATGCTTCTTTCTAGCTTGTAGGGGAAGATATTCCCTTTATCACCATGGGCCTCAAACCGTCCGAAAAGTCCACTTCCATATACTACAAAAAAGAGCGTTTCAAACCTGCTCTATGAAAGGCAATGTTCAACTCTGTGACTTGAATGCAGACATCACAGAGCAGTTTCTGAGAATGCTTCTGTCTAGGTTTTATGGGAAGATATTCCCGTTTCCAACGAAATCTTCACAGCTATCCAAATATCCACTTGCAGATAGTACAAAAAGAGTGTATCAAAAATGCTCTGTCAAAAGGAAAGTTCTTCTCTGTTAGTTGAGTACATACGTCACAAAGGAGTTTCTGAGAATGTTTCTGTCTAGTGGTTATGGGAAGATATTTGCTTTTTCACCGTAGGCCTCAGAGCGCTCCAAATATCCACTTGCACATACTACAAAAAGAGTGCTTCAAAGCTGCTCTCTGAAAGTGAATGTTCAACTCTATGAGTTGAATGCCAACATCACAAAGACGTTTCTGAGAATGCTTCTGTCTAGATTTGATATGAAGATATTCCCGTTTACAAAGAAATCTTCAAATCTATCCAAATGTCCACTTGCAGATTCAACAAAAAGTGTTTTTCAGAACTGCTCTATCAAAAGAAAGATCCACCTCTGTTAGCTGAGTTCACACATCAGAAACAAGTTTATGAGAATGCTTCTGTCTAGTTTTTATTTGAAGATATTTCCTTTCTCACCATAGAGCTGAAAGCTGTCCTAATGTTCACTTCCAGATACTACAGAAAGAGTGTTTCAAAACTGCTGTACGAAAGGGAATGTTCAACTCTGTGACTTGAATGCACACATCACAAAGAAGTTTCTGAGGATGCTGCTGTCTACTTTTTATATGTAATCCCGTTTCCAACGAAATCCTCCAACCTATCCAAATATCCACTTGCAGCTTCCACAGAAAGACTGTTTCAAAACTGCTCTGTCAATAGAAAGGTTCAACTCTGTTAGCTGCGTGCATATATCCCAAAGAAGATTCTGAGATTGCTTGTGTCTACTTTTTATGAGAAGATATTTCCCTTTTCACCGTAGGCGTCAAGGCGCTCCAAATGTCCACTTCCAGATACTACAAAAAGAGTGTTTCAAACCTACTCTGTGAAAGGGAATATTCAACTCTGTGACTTAAATGCACATATCACAAAGAAGCTTCTGAGAATGCTTCTGTCGAGATTTTGTATGAAGATATTCCCGTTTCCAACGAAATCCTGAAATGTATCCAAATATCCCCTCGCAGATTCTACAAAAAGAGTGTTTCAAAACTGCTCTGTGAAAAGAAAGGTTCAACTCTCTTAGTTGAGTACACACATCACAAACAAGTTTCACAGAATGCTTCTTTCTAGCTTGTAGGGGAAGATATTCCCTTCATCACCATGGGCCTCAAACCGTCCGAAACGTCCACTTCCATATACTACAAAAAGAGCGTTTCAAACCTGCTCTATGAAAGGCAATGTTCAACTCTGTGACTTGAATGCAGACATCACAGAGCAGTTTCTGAGAATGTTTCTGTCTAGATTTTATAGGAAGATATTCCCGTTTCCAACGAAATCTTCACAGCTATCCAAATATCCACTTGCAGATTCTACAAAAAGAGTGTATCAAAACTGCTCTGTCAAAAGGAAGGTTCTTTTCTGTTAGGTGAGGGCATACGTCATAAAGGAGTTTCTGAGAATGTTTCTGTCTAGTGGTTATGGGAAGATATTTGCTTTTTCACCGTAGGCCTCAGGGTGCTCCAAATGTCCACTTGCACATGCTACAAAAAGAGTGCTTCAAAGCTGCTCTCTGAAAGGGAATGTTCAACTCTATGAGTTGAATGCAAACATCACAAAGACGTCTCTGAGAATGCTTCTGTCTAGATTTGATATGAACATATTCCCGTTTCCAACGAAATCTTCAAATCTTTCCAAATGTCCACTTGCAGATTCAACAAAAAGTGTTTTTCAGAACTGCTCTATCGAAAGATCCACCTCTGTTAGCTGAGTTCACACATCACAAACAAGTTTATGAGAATGCTTCTGTCTAGTTTTTATTTGAAGATATTTCCTTTCTCACCATAGAGCTGAAAGCTGTCCTAATGTTCACTTCCAGATACTACAGAAAGAGTGTTTCAAAACTGCTGTACGAAAGGGAATGTTCAACTACTGTGACTTGAATGCACACATCACAAAGAAGTTTCGGAGGATGCTGCTGTCTACTTTTTATACGTAATCCCGTTTCCAACGAAATCCTCCAAGCTATCCAAATATCCACTTGCAGATTCCACAGAAAGACTGTTTCAAAACTGCTCTGTCAATAGAAAGGTTCAACTCTGTTAGCAGCGTGCATATATCCCAAAGAAGATTCTGAGATTGCTTGTGTCTACTTTTTATGAGAAGATATTTCCCTTTTCACCATAGGCGTCAAGGCGCTCCAAATGTCCACTTCCAGATACTACAAAAAGAGTGTTTCAAACCTACTCTGTGAAAGGGAATATTCAACTCTGTGACTTGAATGCAGATATCACAAAGAAGTTTCTGAGAATGCTTCTGTCGAGATTTTATATGAAGATATTCCCGTTTCCAAAGAAATCCTGAAATCTATCCAAATATCCCCTCGCATATTCTACAAAAAGAGTGTTTCAAAACTGCTCTGTAAAAAGAAAGGTTCAACTCTGTTAGTTGAGTACACACATCACAAACAAGTTTCACAGAATGCTTCTTTCTAGCTTGTAGGGGAAGATATTCCCTTTATCACCATGGGCCTCAAACCGTCCGAAACGTTCACTTCCATATACTACAAAAAGAGCGTTTCAAACCTGCTCTATGAAAGGCAATGTTCAACTCTGTGACTTGAATGCAGACATCACAGAGTAGTTTCTGAGAATGCTTCTGTCTAGATTTTATAGGAAGATATTCCCGTTTCCAACGAAATCTTCACAGCTATCCAAATATCCACTTGCAGATTCTACAAAAAGAGTGTATCAAAACTGCTCTGTCAAAAGGAAGGTTCTTCTCTGTTAGGTGAGTGCATACGTCATAAAGGAGTTTCTGAGAATGTTTATCTGTCTAGTGGCTATGGGAAGATATTTGCTTTTTCACCGTAGGCCTCACAGCGCTCCAAATATCCACTTGCACATACTACAAAAAGAGTGCTTCAAAGCTGCTCTCTGAAACGGAATGTTCAACTCTATGAGTTGAATGCAAACATCACAAAGACGTTTCTGAGAATGCTTCTGTCTAGACTTGATATGAAGATATTCCCGTTTCCAACGAAATCTTCAAATCTATCCAAATGTCCACTTGCAGATTCAACAAAAAGTGTTTTTCAGAACTGCTCTATCAAAAGAAAGATCCACCTCTGTTAGCTGAGTTCACACATCACAAACAAGTTGATGAGAATGCTTGTGTCTAGTTTTTATTTGAAGATATTTCCTTTCTCACCATAGACCTGAAAGCTGTCCTAATGTTCACTTCCAGATGCTACAGAAAGAGTGTTTCAAAACTGCTGTACGAAAGGGAATGTTCAACTCTGTGACTTGAATGCACACATCACAAAGAAGTTTCTGAGGATGCTGCTGTCTACTTTTTATACGTAATCCCGTTTCCAACGAAATCCTGCAATCTATCCAAATATCCACTTGCAGATTCCACAGAAAGACTGTTTCAAAACTGCTCTGTCAATAGAAAGGTTCAACTCTGTTAGCTGCGTGCATATATCCCAAAGAAGATTCTGAGATTGCTTCTGTCTAGTTTTTATGGGAAGATATTTCCCTTTTCACCGTGGGCGTCAAGGCGCTCCAAATGACCACTTCCAGATACTACAAAAAGAGTGTTTCAAACCTACTCTGTGAAAGGGAATATTCAACTCTGTGACTTGAATGCACATATCAGAAGGAAGTTTCTGAGAATGCTTCTGTCGAGATTTTGTATGAAGATATTCCCGTTTCCAACGAAATCCTGAAATCTATCCAAATATCCCCTCACAGATTCTACAAAAAGAGTGTTTCAAAACTGCTCTGTGAAAAGAAAGGTTCAACTCTGTTAGTTGAGTACACACATCACAAACAAGTTTCACAGAATGCTTCTTTCTAGCTTGTAGGGGAAGATATTCCCTTTATCACCATGGGCCTCAAACCGTCTGAAACGTCCACTTCCATATACTACAAAAAGAGCGTTTCAAACCTGCTCTAGGAAAGGCAATGTTCAACTCTGTGACTTGAATGCAGACATCACAGAGCAGTTTCTGAGAATGCTTCTGTCTATACTTTATAGGAAGATATTCCCGTTTCCAAAGAAATCTTCACAGCTATCCAAATATCCACTTGCAGATTCTACAAAAAGAGTGTATCAAAACTGCTCTGTCAAAAGGAAGGTTCTTCTCTGTTAGGTGAGTGCATACGTCATAAAGGAGTTTCTGAGAATGTTTCTGTCTAGTGGTTATGGGAAGATATTTGCTTTTTCACCGTAGGCCTCAGAGCGCTCCAAATATCCCCTTGCACATACTACAAAAAGAGTGCTTCAAAGCTGCTCTCTGAAACGGAATGTTCAAATCTATGAGTTGAATGCAAACATCACAAAGACGTTTCTGAGAATGCTTCTGTCTAGATTTGATATGAAGATATTCCCGTTTCCAACGAAATCTTCAAATCTATCCAAATGTCCACTTGCAGATTCAACAAAAAGTGTTTTTCAAAACTGCTGTATCAAAAGAAAGATCCACGTCTGTTAGCTGAGTTCACACATGACAAACAAGTTTATGAGAATGTTTCTGTCTAGTTTTTATTTGAAGATATTTCCTTTCTCACCATAGACCTGAAAGCTGTCCTAATGTTCTCTTCCAGATGCTACAGAAAAAGTGTTTCAAAACTGCTGTACGAAAGGGAATGTTCAATTCTGTGACTTGAATGCACACATCACAGAGAAGTTTCTGAGGATGCGGCTGTCTACTTTTTATACGTAATCCCGTTTCCAACGAAATCCTCCAAGCTATCCAAATATCCACTTGCAGATTCCACAGAAAGACTGTTTCAAAACTGCTCTGTCAATAGAAAGGTTCAACTCTGTAAGCTGCGTGCATATATCCCAAAGAAGATTCTGAGATTGCTTCTGTCTAATTTTTATGGGAAGATATTTCCCTTTTCACCGTAGGCGTCAAGGCGCTCCTAATGTCCACTTCCAGATATTACAAAAAGAGTGTTTCAAACCTACTCTGTGAAAGGGAATATTCAACTCTGTGACTTGAATGCAGATATCACAAAGAAGTTTCTGAGAATGCTTCTGTCGAGATTTTATATGAAGATATTCCCGTTTCCAACGAAATCCTGAAATCTATCCAAATATCCCCTCGCAGATTCTACAAAAAGAGTGTTTCAAAACTGCTCTGTAAAAAGAAAGGTTCAACTCTGTTAGTTGAGTGCACACATCACAAACAAGTTTCACAGAATGCTTCTTTCTAGCTTGTAGGGGAAGATATTCCCTTTATCACCATGGGCCTCAAACCGTCTGAAACGTCCACTTCCATATACAGCAAAAAGAGCATTTCAAACCTGCTCTATGAAAGGCAATGTTCAACTCTGTGACTTGAATGCAGACATCACAGAGCAGTTTCTGAGAATGCTTCTGTCTAGATTTTATAGGAAGATATTCCCGTTTCCAACAAAATCTTCACAGCTATCCAAATATCCACTTGCAGATTCTACAAAAAGAGTGTATCAAAACTGCTCTGTCAAAAGGAAGGTTCTTCTCTGTTAGGTGAGTGCATACGTCGTAAAGGAGTTTCTGAGAATGTTTCTGTCTAGTGGTTATGGGAAGATATTTGCTTTTTCACCGTAGGCCTCAGAGCGCTCCAAATATCCACTTGCACATACTACAAAAAGAGTGTCTCAAAGCTGCTCTCTGAAACGGAATGTGCAACTCTATGAGTTGAATGCAAACATCGCAAAGACGTTTCTGAGAATGCTTCTGTCTAGATTTGATATGAAGATATTCCTTTTTCCAAGGAAATCTTCAAAACTATCCAAATGTCCACTTGCAGATTCAACAAAAAGTGTTTTTCAGAACTGCTCTATCAAAAGAAAGATCCACCGCTGTTTGCTGAGTTCACACATCACAAACAAGTTTATGAGAATGCTTCTGTCTAGTTTTTATTTGAAGATATTTCCTTTCTCACCATAGACCTGAAAGCTGTCCTAATGTTCACTTCCAGATACTACAGAAAGAGTGTTTCAAAACTGCTGTACAAAAGGGAATGTTCAACTCTGTGACTTGAATGCACACATCACAAAAAAGTTTCTGAGGATGCTGCTGTCTACTTTTTATACGTAATCCCGTTTCCAACGAAATCCTCCAAGCTATCCAAATATCCACTTGCAGATTCCACAGAAAGACTGTTTCAAAACTCCTCTGTCAATAGAAAGGTTCAACTCCGTTAGCTGCGTGCATATATCCCAAAGAAGATTCTGAGATTGCTTCTGTCTAGTTTTTATGGGAAGATATTTCCCTTTTCACCGTAGGTGTGAAGGCGCTCCAAATGTCCACTTCCAGATACTACAAAAAGAGTGTTTCAAACCTACTCTGTGAAAGGGAATATTCAACTCTGTGACTTGAATGCACATATCACAAAGAAGTTTCTGAGAATGCTTCTGTCGAGATTTTATATGAAGATATTCCCGTTTCCAACGAAATCCTGAAATCTATCCAAATATGCCCTCGCAGATTCTACAAAAAGAGTGTTTCAAAACTGCTCTGTAAAAAGAAAGGTTCAACTCTGTTAGTTGAGTACACACATCACAAACAAGTTTCACAGAATGCTTCTTTCTAGCTTGTAGGGGAAGATATTCCCTTTATTACCATGGGCCTCAAACCGTCCGAAACGTCCACTTCCATATACTACAAAAAGAGCGTTTCAAACCTCCTCTATGAAAGGCAATGTTCAACTCTGTGACTTGAATGCAGACATCACAGAGCAGTTTCTGAGAATGCTTCTGTCTAGATTTTATAGGAAGATATTCCCGTTTCCAACGAAATCTTCACAGCTATCCAAATATCCACTTGCAGATTCTACCAAAAGAGTGTATCAAAACTGCTCTGTCAAAAGGAAGGTTCTTTTCTGTTAGGTGAGTGCATACGTCATAAAGGAGTTTCTGAGAATGTTTCTGTCTAGTGGTTATGGGAAGATATTTGCTTTTTCACCGTAGGCCTCAGAGCGCTCCAAATATCCACTTGCACATACTACAAAAAGAGTGCCTCAAAACTGCTCTCTGAAACGGAATGTTCAACTCTATGAGTTGAATGCAAACATCGCAAAGACGTTTCTGAGAATGCTTCTGTCTAGATTTGATATGAAGATATTCCCGTTTCCAACGAAATCTTCAAATCTATCCAAATGTCCACTTGCAGATTCAACAAAAAGTGTTTTTCAGAACTGCTGTATCAAAAGAAAGATCCACCTCTGTTAGCTGAGTTCAGACATCACAAACAAGTTTATGAGAATGCTTCTGTCTAGTTTTTATTTGAAGATATTTCCTTTCTCACCATGGACCTGAAAGCTCTCGTAATGTTCACTTCCAGATACTAGAGAAAGAGTGGTTCAAACCTGCTCTGCGAAAGGGAATGTTGAACTCTGTGACTTGAATTCACACATCACAAAGGAGTTTCTGAGAATACTGCTGTCTACTTTTTATACATAATACCGTTTCCAACGAAATCCTCCAAGCTATCCAAATATCCACTTGCAGATTCCTCAAAAAGACTGTTTCAAAACTGCTCTGTCAATAGAAAGGTTCAACTCTGTAAGCTGCGTGCATATATCCCAAAGAAGATTCTGAGATTGCTTCTGTCTAGATTTGATGGGAAGATATTTCCCTTTTCACAGTAGACGTCAAGGCGCTCCAAATGTCCACTTCCAGATACTACAAAAAGAGTGTTTCAAACCTACTCTGTGAAAGGGAATATTCAACTCTGTGACTTGAATGCAGATATCACAGAGCAGTTTCTGAGAATGCTTCTGTCGAGATTTTATATGAAGATATACCCGTTTCCAACGAAATCCTGAAATCTATCCAAATATCCCCTCGCAGATTCTACAAAAAGAGTGTTTCAAAACTGCTCTGTGAAAAGAAAGGTTCAACTCTGTTAGTTGAGTACACACATCACAAACAAGTTTCACAGAATGCTTCTTTCTAGCTTGTAGGGGAAGATATTCCCTTTATCACCATGGGCCTCAAACCGTCCGAAAAGTCCACTTCCATATACTACAAAAAGAGCGTTTCAAACCTGCTCTATGAAAGGCAATGTTCAACTCTGTGACTTGAATGCAGACATCACAGAGCAGCTTCTGAGAATGCTTCTGTCTAGATTTTATAGGAAGATATTCCCGTTTCCAGCGAAATCTTCACAGCTATCCAAATATCCACTTGCAGATTCTACAAAAAGAGTGTATCATAACTGCTCTGTCAAATGGAAGGTTCTTCTCTGTTAGGTGAGTGCATACGTCATAAAGGAGTTTCTGAGAATGTTTCTGTCTAGTGGTTATGGGAAGATATTTGCTTTTTCACCGTAGGCCTCAGAGCGCTCCAAATATCCACTTGCACATACTACAAAAAGAGTGTTTCAAAGCTGCTCTCTGAAAGGGAATGTTCAACTCTATGAGTTGAATGCAAACATCACAAAGACGTTTCTGAGAATGCTTCTGTCTAGATTTGATAGGAAGATATTCCCGTTTCCAACGAAATCTTCAAATCTATCCAAATGTCCACTTGCAGATTCAACAAAAAGTGTTTTTCAGAACTGCTCTATCAAAAGAAAGATCCACCTCTGTTAGCTGAGTTCACACATCAAAAACAAGTTTATGAAAATGCTTCTGTCAAGTTTTTATTTGAAGATATTTCCTTTCTCACCATAGACCTGAAAGCTGTCCTAATGTTCACTTCCAGATACTACAGAAAGAGTGTTTCAAAACTGCTGTACGAAAGGGAATGTTCAACTCTGTGACTTGAATGCACACATCACAAAGAAGTTTCTGAGGATGCTGCTGTCTACTTTTTATACGTAATCCCGTTTCCAAAGAAATCCTCCAAGCTATCCAAATATCCACTTGCAGATTCCACAGAAAGACTGTTTCAAAACTGCTCTGTCAATAGAAAGGTTCAACTCTGTTAGCTGCGTGCGATATATCCCAAAGAAGATTCTGAGATTGCTTCTGTCTAGTTTTTATGGGAAGATATTTCCCTTTTCACCGTAGGTGTCAAGGCGCTCCAAATGTCCACTTCCAGATACTACAAAAAGAGTGTTTCAAACCTACTCTGTGAAAGGGAATATTCAACTCTGTGACTTGAATGTAGATATCACAAAGAAGTTTCTGAGAATGCTTCTGTCGAGATTTTATATAAAGATATTCCCGTTTCCAACGAAATCCTGAAATCTATCCAAATATCCCCTCGCAGATTCTACAAAAAGAGTGTTTCAAAACTGCTCTGTAAAAAGAGAGGTTCAACTCTGTTAGTTGAGTACACACATCACAAACAAGTTTCACAGAATGCTTCTTTCTAGCTTGTAGGGGAAGATATTCCCTTTATCACCATGGGTCTCAAACCGTCCGAAACGTCCACTTCCATATACTACAAAAAGAGCGTTTCAAATTTGCTCTAGGAAAGGCAATGTTCAACTCTGTGACTTGAATGCAGACATCACAGAGCAGTTCCTGAGAATGTTTCTGTCTAGATTTTATAGGAAGATATTCCCGTTTCCAACGAAATCTTCACAGCTATCCAAATATCCACTTGCAGATTCTACAAAAAGAGTGTATCAAAACTGCTCTGTCTAAAGGAAGGTTCTTCTCTGTTAGTTGAGTACATACGTCATAAAGGAGTTTCTGAGAATGTTTCTGTCTAGTGGTTATGGGAAGATATTTGCTTTTTCACCGTAGGCCTAAGAGCGCTCCAAATATCCACTTGCACATACTACAAAAAGAGTGCTTCAAAGCTGCTCTCTGAAACGGAATGTTCAACTCTATGAGTTGAATGCAAACATCACAAAGACGTTTCTGAGAATGCTTCTGTCTAGATTTGATATGAAGATATTCCCGTTTCCAACGAAATCTTCAAATCTATCCAAATGTCCACTTGCAGATTCAACAAAAAGTGTTTTTCAGAACTGCTCTATCAATAGAAAGATCCACCTCTGTTAGCTGAGTTCACACATCACAAACAAGTTTATGAGAATGCTTCTGTCTAGTTTTTATTTGAAGATATTTCCTTACTCACGATAGACCTGAAAGCTGTCCTAATGTTCACTTCCAGATACTACAGAAAGAGTGTTTCAAAACTGCTGTACGAAAGGGAATGTTCAACTGTGTGTCTTGAATGCACACATCACAAGGAAGTTTCTGAGGATGCTGCTGTCTACATTTGATACGTAATCCCGTTTCCAACGAAATCTTCCAAGCTATCCAAATATCCACTTGCAGATTCCACGGAAAGACTGTTTCAAAACTGCTCTGTCAATAGAAAGGTTCAACTCTGTTAGCTGCGTGCATATATCCCAAAGAAGATTCTGAGATTGCTTCTGTCTAGTTTTTATGGGAAGATATTTCCCTTTTCACCGTAGGCGTTAAGGCGCTCCAAATGTCCACTTCCAGATACTACAAAAAGAGTGTTTCAAACCTACTCTGTGAAAGGGAATATTCAACTCTGTGACTTGAATGCAGATATCACAAAGAAGTTTCTGAGAATGCTTCTGTCGAGATTTTATATGAAGATATTCCCGTTCCCAACGAAATCCTGAAATCTATCCAAATATCCCCTCGCAGATTCTACAAAAAGCGTGTTTCAAAACTGCTCTGTAAAAAGAAAGGTTCAACTCTGTTAGTTGAGTACACACATCACAAACAAGTTTCACAGAATGCTTCTTTCTAGCTTGTAGGGGAAGATATTCCCTTTATCACCATGGTCCTCAAACCGTCCGAAACGTCCACTTCCATATACTACAAAAAGAGCGTTTCTAAACTGCTCTAGGAAAGGCAATGTTCAACACTGTGACTTGAATGCAGACATCACAGAGCAGTTTCTGAGAATGCTTCTGTCTAGATTTTATAGGAAGATATTCCCGTTTCCAACGAAATCTTCACAGCTACCCCAATATCCACTTGCAGATTCTACAAAAAGAGTGTATCAAAACTGCTCTGTCAAAAGGAAGGTTCTTCTCTGTTAGGTGAGTGCATAAGTCATAAAGGAGTTTCTGAGAATGTTTCTGTCTAGTGGTTATGGGAAGATATTTGCTTTTTCACCGTAGGCCTCAGAGCGCTCCAAATATCCACTTGCACATACTACAAAAAGAGTGCCTCACAGCTGCTCTCTGAAAGGGAATGTTCAACTCTATGAGTTGAATGCAAACATCGCAAAGACGTTTCTGAGAATGCTTCTGTCTAGATTTGATATGAAGGTATTCCCGTTTCCAACGAAATCTTCAAATCTGTCCAAATGTCCACTTGCAGATTCAACAAAAAGTGTTTTTCAGAACTGCTCTATCAAAAGAAAGATCCACCTCTGTTAGCTGAGTTCACACATCACAAACAAGTTTATGAGAATGCTTCTGTCTAGTTTTTATTTGAAGATATTTCCTTTCTCACCATAGACCTGAAAGCTGTCCTAATGTTCACTTCCAGATACTGCAGAAAGAGTGTTTCAAAACTGCTGTACGAAAGGGAATGTTCAACTCTGTGACTTGAATGCACACATCACAAAGAAGTTTCTGAGGATGCTGCTGTCTACTTTTTATACGTAATCCCGTTTCCAACGAAATCCTCCAAGCTATCCAAATATCCACTTGCAGATTCCACAGAAAGACTGTTTCAAAACTGATCTGTCAATAGAAAGGTTCAACTCTGTTAGCTGCGTGCATATATCCCAAAGAAGATTCTGAGATTGCTTCTGTCTAGTTTTTATGGGAAGATATTTCCCTTTTCACCGTAGGGGTCAAGGCGCTCCAAATGTCCACTTCCAGATACTACAAAAAGAGTGTTTCAAACCTACTCTGTGAAAGGGAATATTCAACTCTGTGACTTGAATGCAGATATCACAAGAAGTTTCTGAGAATGCTTCTGTCGAGATTTTATATGAAGATATTCCCGTTTCCAACGAAATCCTGAAATGTATCCAAATATCCCCTCGCAGATTCTACAAAAAGAGTGTTTCAAAACTGCTCTGTAAAAAGAAAGGTTCAACTCTGTTAGTTGAGTACAGACATCACAAACAAGTTTCACAGAATGCTTCTTTCTAGCTTGTAGGGGAAGATATTCCCTTTATCACCATGGGCCTCCAACCGTCCGAAACATCCACTTCCATATACTACAAAAAGAGCGTTTCAAACCTGCTCTATGAAAGGCAATGTTCAACTCTGTGACTTGAAAGCAGACATCACAGAGCAGTTTCTGAGAATGCTTCTGTCTAGATTTTATAGGAAGATATTCCCGTTTCCAACGAAATCTTCACAGCTATCCAAATATCCACTTGCAGATTCTACAAAAAGAGTGTATCAAAACTGCTCTGTCAAAAGGAAGGTTCTTCTCTGTTAGGGTGAGTGCATACGTCGTAAAGGAGTTTCTGAGAATGTTTCTGTCTAGTGGTTATGGGAAGATATTTGCTTTTTCCCCGTAGGCCTCAGGGCGCTCCAAATGTCCACTTGCACATACTACAAAAAGAGTGCTTCAAAGCTGCTCTCTGAAACGGAAAGTTCAACTCTATGAGTTGAATGCAAACATCACAAAGACGTTTCTGAGAATGCTTCTGTCTAGATTTGATATGAAGATATTCCCGTTTCCAACGAAATCTTCAAATCTATCCAAATGTCCACTTGCAGATTCTACAAAAAGTGTTTTTCAGAACTGCTCTATCAAAAGAAAGATCCACCTCTGTTAGCTGAGTTCACACATCACAAACAAGTTTATGAGAATGCTTCTGTCTAGTTTTTATTTGAAAATATTTCCTTTCTCACCATAGACCTGAAAGCTGTCCTAATGTTCACTTCCAGATACTACAGAAAGAGTGTTTCAAAACTGCTGTACGAAAGGGAATGTTCAACTCTGTGACTTGAATGCACACATCACAAAGAAGTTTCTGAGGATGCTGCTGTCTACTTTTTATACTTAATCCCGTTTCCAACGAAATCCTCCAAGCTATCCAAATATCCACTTGCAGATTCCACAGAAAGACTGTTTCAAAACTGCTCTGTCAATAGAAAGGTTCAACTCTGTTAGCTGCATGCATATATCCCAAAGAAGATTCTGAGATTGCTTCTGTCTAGTTTTGATGGGAAGATATTTCCCTTTTCACCGTAGGCGTCAAGGCGCTCCAAATGTCCACTTCCAGATACTACAAAAAGAGTGTTTCAAACCTGTTCTATTAAAGGGAATGTTCAATTCTGTGACTTGAATGCAAACATCACCAAGAAGTTTCTCAGAACGCTTCTGTCGAGATTTTATATGAAGATACTCCCGTTTCCAACGAAATCCTGAAATCTATCCAAATATCCCCTCGCAGATTCTACAAAAAGAGTGTTTCAAAACTGCTCTGTAAAAAGAAAGGTTCAACTCTGTTAGTTGAGTACACACATCAGAAACAAGTTTCACAGAATGCTTCTTTCTAGCTTGTAGGGGAAGATATTCCCTTTATCACCATGGGCCTCAAACCGTACGAAACGTCTACTTCCATATACTACAAAAAGAGCGTTTCAAACCTGCTCTATGAAAGGCAATGTTCAACTCTGTGACTTGAATGCAGACATCACAGAGCAGTTTCTGAGAATGCTTCTGTCTAGATTTTATAGGAAGATATTCCCGTTTCCAACGAAATCTTCACAGGTATCCAAATATCCACTTGCAGATTCTACAAAAAGAGTGTATCAAAACTGCTCTGTCAAAAGGAAGGTTCTTCTCTGTTAGGTGAGTGCATACGTCATAAAGGAGTTTCTGAGAAAGTTTCTGTCTAGTGGTTATGGGAAGATATTTGCTTTTTCACCTGAGGCCTCAGAGCACTCCAAATATCCCCTTGCACATACTACAAAAAGAGTGCCTCAAAGCTGCTCTCTGAAACGGAATGTTCAACTCTATGAGTTGAATGCAAACATCACAAAGACGTTTCTGAGAATGCTTCTGTCTAGATTTGATATAAAGATATTCCCGTTTCCAACGAAATCTTCAAATCTATCCAAATGTCCACTTGCAGATTCAACAAAAAGTGTTTTTCCGAACTGCTCTATCAAAAGAAAGATCCACCTCTGTTAGCTGAGTTCACACATCACAAACAAGTTTATGAGAATGCTTCGGTATAGTTTTTATTTGAAGATATTTCCTTTCTCACCATAGACCTGAAAGCTGTCCTAATGTTCACTTCCAGATGCTACAGAAAGAGTGTTTCAAAACTGCTGTACGAAAGGGAATATTCAACTCTGTGACTTGAATGCACACATCACAAAGAAGTTTCTGAGGATGCTGCTGTCTACTTTTTATACGTAATCCCGTTTCCAACGAAATCCTCCAAGCTATCCAAATATCCACTTGCAGATTCCACAGAAAGACTGTTTCAAAACTGCTGTCAATAGAAAGGTTCAACTCTGTTAGCTGCATGCATATATCCCAAAGAAGATTCTGAGATTGCTTCTGTCTACTTTTTATGAGAAGATATTTCCCTTTTCACCGTAGGCGTCAAGGTGCTCAAAATGTCCACTTCCAGATACTACAAAAAGAGTGTTTCAAACCTACTCTGTGAAAGGGAATATTCAACTCTGTGACTTGAATGCACATATCACAAAGAAGCTTCTGAGAATGCTTCTGTCGAGATTTTATATGAAGATATTCTCGTTTCCAACGAAATCCTGAAATCTATCCAAATATCCCCTCACAGATTCTACAAAAAGAGTGTTTCAAAACTGCTCTGTAAAAAGAAAGGTTGAACTCTGTTACTTGAGTACACACATCACAAACAAGTTTCACAGAATGCTTCTTTCTAGCTTGTAGGGGAAGATATTCCCTTTTTCACCATGGGCCTCAAACCGTCTGAAACGTCCACTTCCATATACTACAAAAAGAGCATTTCAAACCTGCTCTGTGAAAGGCAATGTTCAACTCTGTGACTTGAATGCAGACATCACACAGCAGTTTCTGAGAATGCTTCTGTCTAGATTTTATAGGAAGATATTCCGGTTTCCAACGAAATCTTCACAGCTATCCAAATATCCACCTGCAGATACTACAAAAAGAGTGTATCAAAACTGCTCTGTCAAAAGGAAGGTTCTTCTCTGTTAGGTGAGTGCATACGTCATAAAGGAGTTTCTGAAAATGTTTCTGTCTAGTGGTTATGGGAAGATATTTGCTTTTTCACCGTAGGCCTCAGAGCGCTCCAAATATCCAGTTGCACATACTACAAAAAGAGTGCTTCAAAGCTGCTCTCTGAAACGGAATGTTCAACTCTAGGAGTTGAATGCAAACATCACAAAGACGTTTCTGAGAATGCTTCTGTCTAGTATTTGATATGAAGATCTTCCCGTTTCCAACGAAATCTTCAAATCTATCCAAATGTCCACTTGCAGATTCAACAGAAAGTGTTTTTCAGAACTGCTCTATCAAAAGAAAGATCCACCTCTGTTAGCTGAGTTCAGACATCACAAACAAGTTTATGAGAATGCTTCTGTTTAGTTTTTATTTGAAGATATTTCCTTTCTCACCATCGACCTGAAAGCTGTCCTAATGTTCACTTCCAGATACTACAGAAAGAGTGTTTCAAAACTGCTGTACGAAAGGGAATGTTCAACACTGTGACTTGAATGCACACATCACAAAGAAGTTTCTGAGGATGCGGCTGTCTACTTTTTATACCTAATCCCGTTTCCAACGAAATCCTCCAAGCTATCCAAATATCCACTTGCAGATTCCACAGAAAGACTGTTTCAAAACTGCTCTGTCAATAGAAAGGTTCAACTCTGTTAGCTGCGTGCATATATCCCAAAGAAGATTCTGAGATTGCTTCTGTCTAGTTTTTATGGGAAGATATTTCCCTTTTTACCGTAGGTGTCAAGGCGCTCAAAATGTCCACTTCCAGATACTACAAAATGAGTGTTTCAAACCTACTCTGTGAAAGGGAATATTCAACTCTGTGACTTGAATGCAGATATCACAAAGAAGTTTCTGAGAATGCTTCTGTCGATATTTTATATGAAGACATTCCCGTTTCCAACGAAATGCTGAAATGTATCCAAATATCCCCTCGCAGATTCTACAAAAAGAGTGTTTCAAAACTGCTCTGTAAAAAGAAAGGTTCAACTCTGTTAGTTGAGTACACACATCACAAACAAGTTTCACAGAATGCTTCTTTCTATCTTGTAGGGGAAGATATTTCCTTTATCACCATGGTCCTCAAACCGTCCGAATCGTCCACTTCCATATACTAAAAAAAGAGTGTTTGAAACCTGCTCTATGAAAGGCAATGTTCAACTCTGTGACTTGAATGCAGACATCACAGAGCAGTTTCTGAGAATGCTTCTGTCTAGATTTTATAGGAAGATATTCCCGTTTCCAACGAAATCTTCACAGCTATCCAAATATCCACTTGCAGATTCTACAAAAAGAGTGTATGAAAACTGCTCTGTCAAAAGGAAGGTTCTTCTCTGTTAGGTGAGTGCATACGTCATAAAGGAGTTTCTGAGAATGTTTCTGTCTAGTGGTTATGGGAAGATATTTGCTTTTTCACCGTAGGCCTCAGAGCGCTCCAAATATCCACTTGCACATACTACAAAAAGAGTGCTTCAAATCTGCTCTCTGAAACGGAATGTTCAACTCTATGAGTTGAATGCAAACATCACAAAGACGTTTCTGAGAATGCTTCTGTCTAGACTTGATATGAAGATATTCCCGTTTCCAACGAAATCTTCAAATCTATCCAAATGTCCACTTGCAGATTCAACAAAAAGTGTTTTTCAGAACTGCTCTATCAAAAGAAAGATCAACCTCTGTTAGCTGAGTTCACACATCACAAACAAGTTTATGAGAATGCTTCTGTCTAGTTTTTATTTGAAGATATTTCCTTTCTCACCATAGAGCTGAAAGCTGTCCTAATGTTCACTTCCAGTTACTACAGAAAGACTGTTTCAAAACTGCTGTACGAAAGGGAATGTTCAACTCTGTGACTTGAATGCACACATCACAAAGAAGTTTCTGAGGATGCTGCTGTCTACTTTTTATACGTAATCCCGTTTCCAACGAAATCCTCCAAGCTATCCAAATATCCACTTGCAGATTCCACAGAAAGACTGTTTCAAAACTCCTCTGTCCATAGAAAGGTTCAACTCTGTTAGCTGCGTGCATATAACCCAAAGAAGATTCTGAGATTGCTTCTGTCTAGTTTTTATGGGAAGATATTTCCCTTTTCACCGTAGGCGTCAAGGCGCTCCAAATGTCCACTTCCAGATACTACAAAAAGACTGTTTCAAACCTACTCTGTGAAAGGGAATATTCAACTCTGTGACTTGAAAGCACATATCACAAAGAAGTTTCTGAGAATGCTTTTGTCGAGATTTTCTATGAAGATATTCCCATTTCCAACGAAATCCTGAAATGTATCCAAATATCCCCTCGCAGATTCTACAAAAAGAGTGTTTCAAAACTGCTCTGTAAAAAGAAAGGTTCAACTCTGTTAGTTGAGTACAAACATCACAAACAAGTTTCACAGAATGCTTCTTTCTAGCTTATAGGGGAAGATATTCCCTTTATCACCATGGGCCTCAAACCGTCCGAAACGTCCACTTCCATATACTACAAAAAGAGCGTTTCAAACCTGCTCTATGAAAGGCAATGTTCAACTCCGTGACTTCAATGCAGACATCACAGAGCAGTTTCTGAGAATGCTTCTGTCTGGATTTTATAGGAAGATATTCCCGTTTCCAACGAAATCTTCACAGCTATCCAATTATCCACTTGCAGATTCTACAAAAAGAGTGTATCAAAACTGCTCTGTCAAAAGGAAGGTTCTTCTCTGTTAGGTGAGTGCATACGTCATAAAGGAGTTTCTGAGAATGTTTCTGTCTAGTGGTTATGGGAAGATATTTGCTTTTTCACCGTAGGCCTCAGAGCGCTCCAAATATCCACTTGCATATACTACAAAAAGAGTGCTTCAAAGCTGCTCTCTGAAACGGAATGTTCAACTCTATGAGTTGAATGCAAACATCACAAAGACGTTTTCCGAGAATGCTTCTGTCTAGATTTGATATGAAGATCTTCCCGTTTCCAACGAAATCTTCAAATCTATCCAAATGTCCACTTGCAGATTCAACAAAAAGTGTTTTTCAGAACTGCTCTATCAAAAGAAAGATCCACCTCTGTTAGCTGAGTTCAGACATCACAAACAAGTTTATGAGAATGCTTTCTGTCTAGTTTTTATTTGAAGATATATCCTTTCTCACTATAGACCTGAAAACTCTCCTAAAGTTCACTTCCAGATACTACAGAAAGAGTGTTTCAAAACTGCTGTACGAAAGGGAATATTCAACTCTGTGACTTGAATGCACGCATCACAAGGAAGTTTCTGAGGATGCTGCTGTCTACTTTTTATACGTAATCCCGTTTCCAACGAAATCCTCCAAGCTATCCAAATACCACTTGCAGATTCCACAGAAAGACTGTTTCAAAACTGCTCTGTCAATAGAAAGGTTCAACTCTGTTAGCTGCGTGCATATATCCCAAAGAAGATTCTGAGATTGCTTCTGTCTAGTTTTTATGGGAAGATATTTCCCTTTTCACCGTAGGTGTCAAGGCGCTCCAAATGTCCACTTCCAGATACTACAAAAAGAGTGTTTCTAACCTACTCTGTGAAAGGGAATATTCAACTCTGTGACTTGAATGCACATATCACAAAGAAGTTTCTGAGAATGCTTCTGTCGAGATTTTATATGAAGATATTCCCGTTTCCAACGAAATCCTGAAATCTATCCAAATATCGCCTTGCAGATTCTACAAAAAGAGTGTTTCAAAACTGCTCTGTAAAAAGAAAGGTTCAACTCTGTTAGTTGAGTACACACATCACAAACAAGTTTCACAGAATGCTTCTTTCTAGCTCGTAGGGGAAGATATTCCCTTTATCACCATGTGCCTCAAACCGTCCGAAACGTCCACTTCCATATACTACAAAAAGAGCGTTTCAAACCTGCTCCATGAAAGGCAATGTTCAACTCTGTGACTTGAATGCAGACATCATAGAGCAGTTTCTGAGAATGCTTCTGTCTAGATTTTATAGGAAGATATTCCGGTTTCCAACGAAATCTTCACAGCTATCCAAATATCCACTTGCAGATTCTACAAAAAGAGTGTATCAAAACTGCTCTGTCAAAAGGAAGGTTCTTCTCTGTTAGGTGAGTGCATACGTCATAAAGGAGTTTCTGAAAATGTTTCTGTCTAGTGGTTATGGGAAGATACTTGCTTTTTCACCTTAGGCCTCAGAGCGCTCAAAATATCCCCTTGCACATACTACAAAAAGAGCGCTTCAAAGCTGCTCTCTGAAACGGAATGTTCAACTCTATGGGTTGAATGCAAACATCAGAAAGACGTTTCTGAGAATGCTTCTGTCTAGATTTGATATGAAGATATTCCCGTTTCCAACGAAATCTTCAAATGTATCCAAATGTCCACTTGCAGATTCAACAAAAAGTGTTTTTCAGAACTGCTCTATCAAAAGAAAGATCCACCTCTGTTAGCTGAGTTCACACATCACAAACAAGTTTATGAGAATGCTTCTGTCTAGTTTTTATTTGAAGATATTTCCTTTCTCACCATAGAGCTGAAAGCTGTCCTAATGTTCACTTCCAGATACTACAGAAAGAGTGTTTCAAAACTGCTGTACGAAAGGGAATGTTCAACTACTGTGACTTGAATGCACACATCACAAAGAAGTTTCTGAGGATGCTGCTGTCTACTTTTTATACGTAATCCCGTTTCCAACGAAATCCTCCAAGCTATCCAAATATCCACTGGCAGATTCCACAGAAAGACTGTTTCAAAACTGCTCTGTCAATAGAAAGGTTCAACTCTGTTAGCTGCATGCATATATCCCAAAGAAGATTCTGAGATTGCTTCTGTCTAGTTTTTATGGGAAGATATTTCCCTTTTCACCGTAGGCGTCAAGGCGCTCCAAATGTCCACTTCCAGATGCTACAAAAAGAGTGTTTCAAACCTACTCTGTGAAAGGGAATATTCAACTCTGTGACTTGAATGCACATATCACAAAGAAGTTTCTGAGAATGCTTCTGTCGAGTATTTTATATGAAGATATTCCAGTTTCCAACCAAATCCTGAAATCTATCCAAATATCCCCTCGCAGATTCTACAAAAAGAGTGTTTCAAAACTGCTCTGTAAAAAGAAAGGTTCAACTCTGTTAGTTGAGTACACACATCACAAACAAGTTTCACAGAATGCTTCTTTCTAGCTTGTAGGGGAAGATATTCCCTTTATCACCATGGGCCTCAAACCGTCCGAAACGTCTACTTCCATATACTACAAAAAGAGCGTTTCAAACCTGCTCTATGAAAGGCAATGTTCAACTCTGTGACTTGAATGCAGACATCACAGAGCAGTTTCTGACAATGCTTCTGTCTAGATTTTATAGGAAGATATTCCCGTTTCCAACAAAATCTTCACAGCTATCCAAATATCCACTTGCAGATTCTACAAAAAGCGTGTATCAAAACTGCTCTGTCAAAAGGAAGGTTCTTCTCTGTTAGGTGAGTGCATACGTCATAAAGGAGTTTCTGAGAATGTTTCTGTCTAGTGGTTATTCGAAGATATTTGCTTTTTCACCGTAGGCCTCAGAGTGCTCCAAATATCCACTTGCACATACTACAAAAAGAGTGCCTCAAAGCTGCTCTCTGAAACGGAATGTTCAACTCTATGAGTTGAATGCAAACATCACAAAGACGTTTCTGAGAATGCTTCTGTCTAGATTAGATATGAAGATATTCCCGTTTCCAACGAAATCTTCAAATCTATCCAAATGTCCACTTGCAGATTCAACAAAAAGTGTTTTTCCGAACTGCTCTATCAAAAGAAAGATCCGCCTCTGTTAGCTGAGTTCACACATCACAAACAAGTTTATGAGAATGCTTCTGTCTAGTTTTTATTTGAAGATATTTCCTTTCTCACCATAGACCTGAAAGCTGTCCTAATGTTCACTTCCAGTTACTACAGAAAGAGTGTTTCAAAACTGCTGTACGAAAGGAAATGTTCAACTCTGTGACTTGAATGCACACATCACAAAGAAGTTTCTGAGGATGCTGCTGTCTACTTTTTATACTTAATCCCGTTTCCAACGAAATACTCCAAGCTCTCCAAATATCCACTTGCAGATTCCACAGAAAGACTGTTTCAAAACTGCTCTGTCAATAGAAAGGTTCAACTCTGTTAGCTGCGTGCATATATCCCAAAGAAGATTCTGAGATTGCTCTGTCTAGTTTTTATGGGAAGATATTTCCCTTTTCACCGTAGGTGTCAAGGCGCTCCAAATGTCCACTTCCAGATACTACAAAAAGAGTGTTTCAAACCTACTCTGTGAAAGGGAATATTCAACTCTGTGACTTGAATGCAGATATCACAAAGAAGTTTCTGAGAATGCTTTCGGTCGAGATTTTATATGAAGATATTCCCGTTTCCAACGAAATCCTGAAATCTATCCAAATATCCCCTCGCAGATTCTACAAAAAGAGTGTTTCAAAACTGCTCTGTAAAAAGAAAGGTTCAACTCTGTTAGTTGAGTACACACATCACAAACAAGTTTCACAGAATGCTTCTTTCTAGCTTGTAGGGGAAGATATTCCCTTTATCACCATGGGCCTCCAACCGTCCGAAACATCCACTTCCATATACTACAAAAAGAGCGCTTCAAACCTGCTCTATGAAAGGCAATGTTCAACTCTGTGACTTGAATGCAGACATCACAGAGCAGTTTCTGAGAATGCTTCTGTCTAGATTTTATAGGAAGATATTCCCGTTTCCAACGAAATCTTCACAGCTATCCAAATATCCACTTGCAGATTCTACAAAAAGAGTGTATCAAAACTGCTCTGTCAAAAGGAAGGTTCTTTTCTGTTAGGTGAGTGCATACGTCATAAAGGAAGTTTCTGAGAATGTTTCTGTCTAGTGGTTATGGGAAGATATTTGCTTTTTCCCCGTAGGCCTCAGGGCGCTCCAAATGTCCACTTGCACATGCTACAAAAAGAGTGCTTCAAAGCTGGTCTCTGAAAGGGAATGTTCAACTCTATGAGTTAAATGCAAACATCACAAAGACGTTTCTGAGAATGCTTCTGTCTAGATTTGAAATGAAGTTATTCCCGTTTCCAACGAAATCTTCAAATCTATCCAAATGTCCACTTGCAGATTCAACAAAAAGTGTTTTTCAGAACTGCTCTATCAAAAGAAAGATCCACCTCGGTTAGCTGAGTTCACACATCACAAAGAAGTTTATGAGAATGCTTCTGTCTAGTTTTTATTTGAAGATATTTCCTTTCTCAGCATAGACCTGAAAGCTGTCCTAATGTTCACTTCCAGATACTACAGAAAGAGTGTTTCAAAACTGCTGTACGAAAGGGAATGTTCAACTCTGTGACTTGAATGCACACATCACAAAGAAGTTTCTGAGTATGCTGCTGTCTACTTTTTATACATAATCCCGTTTCCAACGAAATCCTCCAAGCTATCCAAATATCCACTTGCAGATTCCACAGAAAGACTGTTTCAAAACTGCTCTGTCAATAGAAAGGTTCAACTCTGTTAGCTGCGTGCATATATCCCAAAGAAGATTCTGAGATTGCTTCTGTCTAGTTTTTATGGGAAGATATTTCCCTTTTCACAGTAGGTGTCAAGGCACTCCAAATGTCCACTTCCAGATACTACAAAAAGAGTGTTTCAAACCTACTCTGTGAAAGGGAATATTCAACTCTGTGACTTGAATGCACATATCACAAAGAAGTTTCTGAGAATGCTTCTGTCGAGATTTTATATGAAGATATTCCCGTTTCCAACGAAATCCTGAAATCTATCCAAATATCCCCTCGCAGATTCTACAAAAAGAGTGTTTCAAAACTGCTCTGTAAAAAGAAAGGTTCAACTCTGTTAGTTGAGTACAAACATCACAAACAAGTTTCACAGAATGCTTCTTTCTAGCTTGTAGGGGAAGATATTCCCTTTATCACCATGGTCCTCAAACCGTTCAAAACGTCCTCTTCCATATACTACAAAAAGAGCGTTTCAAACCTGCTCTATGAAAGGCAATGTTCAACTCTGTGACTTGAATGCAGACATCACAGAGCAGTTTCTGAGAATGCTTCTGTCCAGACTTTATAGGAAGATATTCCCGTTTCCAACGAAATCTTCACAGCTATCCAAATATCCACTTGCAGATACTAGAAAAAGAATGTATCAAAAATGCTCTGTCAAAAGGAAAGTTCTTCTCTGCTAGTTGAGTACATGCGTCATAAAGAAGTTTCTGAGAATGTTCCTGTCTAGTGGTTATGGGAAGATATTTGCTTTTTCCCCGTAGGCCTCAAAGCGCTCCAAATGTCCACTTGCACATACTACAAAAAGAGTGCTTCAAAGCTGCTCTCTGAAAGGGAATGTTCAACTCTATGAGTTGAATGCTAACATCACAACGACGTTTCTGAGAATGCTTCTGTCTAGATTTGATATGAAGATATTCCCGTTTCCAACGAAATCTTCAAATCTATCCAAATGTCCACTTGCAGATTCAACAAAAAGTGTTTTTCAGAACTGCTCTATCAAAAGAAAGTCCCACCTCTGTTAGCTGAGTTCACACATCACAAACAAGTTTATGAGAATGCTTCTGTCTAGTTTTTATTTGAAGATATTTCCTTTCTCACCATAGAGCTGAAAGCTGTCCTAATGTTCACTTCCAGATACTACAGAAAGAGTGTTTCAAAACTGCTGTACGAAAGGGAATGTTCTACTCTGTGACTTGAATGCACACATCACAAAGAAGTTTCGGAGGATGCTGCTGTCTACTTTTTATACGTAATCCCGTTTCCAACGAAATCCTCCAAGCTATCCAAATATCCACTTGCAGATTCCACAGAAAGACTGTTTCAAAACTGCTCTGTCAATAGAAAGATTCAACTCCGTTAGCTGCGTGCATATATCCCAAAGAAGATTCTGAGATTGCTTCTGTCTAGGTTTTATGGGAAGATATTTCCCTTTTCACCGTAGGCGTCAATGCGCTCCAAATGTCCACTTCCAGATACTACAAAAAGAGTGTTTCAAACCTACTCTGTGAAAGGGAATATTCAACTCTGTGACTTGAATGCACATATCACAAAGAAGTTTCTGAGAATGCTTCTGTCGAGATTTTATATGAAGATATTCACGTTTCCAACGAAATCCTGAAATCTATCCAAATATCCCCTCACAGATTCTACAAAAAGAGTGTTTCAAAACTGCTCTGTAAAAAGAAAGGTTCAACTCTGTTAGTTGACTACACACATCACAAACAAGTTTCACAGAATGCTTCTTTCTAGCTTTTAGGGGAAGATATTCCCTTTATCACCATGGGCCTCAAACCGTCCGAAACGTCCACTTCCATATACTACAAAAAGAGCGTTTCAAACCTGCTCTAGGAAAGGCAATGTTCAACTCTGTGACTTGAATGCAGACATCACAGAGCAGTTTCTGAGAATGCTTCTCTCCAGACTTTATAGGAAGATATTCCCGTTTAAAACGAAATCTTCACAGCTATCCAAATATCCACTTGCAGATACTACAAAAAGAGTGTATCAAAAGTGCTCTGTCAAAAGGAAAGTTCTTCTCTGCTAGTTGAGTACATACGTCATAAAGAAGTTTCTGAGAATGTTTCTGTCTAGTGGTTATGGGAAGATATTTGCTTTTTCCCCGTAGGCCTCAGAGCGCTCCAAATATCCAGTTGCACATACTACAAAAAGAGTGCTTCAAAGCTGCTCTCTGAAACGGAATGTTCAACTCTATGAGTTGAATGCAAACATCACAAAGACGTTTCTGAGAATGCTTCTGTCTAGATTTGATATGAAGATATTCCCGTTTCCAACGAAATCTTCAAATCTATCCAAATGTCCACTTGCAGATTCAACAAAAAGTGTTTTTCAGAACTGCTCTATCAAAAGAAAGATCCACCTCTCTTAGCTGAGTTCGCACATCACAAACAAGTTTATGAGAATGCTTCTGTCTAGTTTTTATTTGAAGATATTTCGTTTCTCACCATAGACCTGAAAGCTGTACTAATGTTCACTTCCAGATACTACAGAAAGAGTGTTTCAAAACTGCTGTACGAAAGGGAATGTTCAACTCTGTGACTTGAATGCACACATCACAAAGAAGTTTCTGAGGATGCTGCTGTCTACTTTTTATACGTAATCCCGTTTCCAACGAAATCCTCCAAGCTATCCAAATATCCACTTGCAGATTCCACAGAAAGACTGTTTCAAAACTGCTCTGTCTATAGAAAGGTTCAACTCTGTTAGCTGCGTGCATATATCCCAAAGACGATTCTGAGATTGCTCTGTCTAGTTTTTATGAGAAGATATTTCCCTTTTCACCGTAGGCGTCAAGGCGCTCCAAATGTCCACTTCCAGATACTACAAAAAGAGTGTTTCAAACCTACTCTGTGAAAGGGAATATTCAACTCTGTGACTTGAATGCAGATATCACAAAGAAGTTTCTGAGAATGCTTTCTGTCGAGATTTTATATGAAGATATTCCCGTTTCCAACGAAATCCTGAAATCTATCCAAACTTCCCCTCGCAGATTCTACAAAAAGAGTGTTTCAAAACTGCTCTGTAAAAAGAAAGGTTCAACTCTGTTAGTTGAGTACACACATCACAAACAAGTTTCACAGAATGCTTCTTTCTAGCTCGTAGGGGAAGATATTCCCTTTATCACCATGGGCCTCAAACCGTCCGAAACGTCCACTTCCATATACTACAAAAAGAGCGTTTCAAACCTGCTCCATGAAAGGCAATGTTCAACTCTGTGACTTGAATGCAGACATCATAGAGCAGTTTCTGAGAATGCTTCTGTCTAGATTTTATAGGAAGATATTCCCGTTTCCAAGGAAATCTTCGCAGCTATCCAAATAACCACTTGCAGATTCTACAAAAAGAGTGTATCAAAACTGCACTGTCAAAAGGAAGGTTCTTCTCTGTTAGGTGAGTGCATACGTCATAAAGGAGTTTCTGAGAATGTTTCTGTCTAGTGGTTATGGGAAGATATTTGCTTTTTCACCGTAGGCCTCAGAGCGCTCCAAATATCCACTTGCACATACTACAAAAAGAGTACCTCAAAGCTGCTCTCTGAAACGGAATGTTCAACTCTATGAGTTGAATGCAAACATCACAACGACGTTTCTGAGAATGCTTCTGTCTAGATTTGATATGAAGATATTCCCGTTTCCAACGAAATCTTCAAATCTATCCAAATGTCCACTTGCATAATCAACAAAAAGTGTTTTTCAGAACTGCTCTATCAAAAGAAAGATCCACCTCTGTTAGCTGAGTTCACACATCACAAACAAGTTTATGAGAATGCTTGTGTCTAGTTTTTATTTGAAGATATTTCCTTTCTCACCATAGACCTGAAAGCTGTCCTAATGTTCACTTCCAGATACTACAGAAAGAGTGTTTCAAAACTGCTGTATGAAAGGAAATGTTCAACCCTGTGACTTGAATGCACACATCACAAAGAAGTTTCTGAGGATGCTGCTGTCTACTTTTTATATGTAATCCCGTTTCCAATGAAATCCTCCAAGCTATCCAAATATCCACTTGCAGATTCCACAGAAAGACTGTTTCAAAACTGCTCTGTCAATAGAAAGGTACAACTCTGTTAGCTGCGTGCATATATCCCAAAGAAGATTCTGAGATTGCTTCTGTCTAGTTTTTATGGGAAGATATTTCCCTTTTCACCGCAGGCGTCAAGGTGCTCCAAATGTCCTCTTCCAGATACTACAAAAAGAGTGTTTCAATCCTACTCTGTGAAAGGGAATATTCAACTCTGTGACTTGAATGCAGATATCACAAAGAAGTTTCTGAGAATGCTTCTGTCGAGATTTTATATGAAGATATTCCCGTTTCCAAAGAAATCCTGAAATCTATCCAAATATCCCCTCGCAGATTCTACAAAAAGAGTGTTTCAAAACTGCTCTGTAAAAAGAAAGGTTCAACTCTGTTAGTTGAGTACACACATCACAAACAAGTTTCACAGAATGCTTCTTTCTAGCTTGTAGGGGAAGATATTCCCTTTATCACCATGGGCCTCCAACCGTCCGAAACATCCACTTCCGTATACTACAAAAAGAGCGTTTCAAACCTGCTCTATGAAAGGCAATGTTCAACTCTGTGACTTGAATACAGACATCACAGAGCAGTTTCTGAGAATGCTTCTGTCTAGATTTTATAGGAAGGTATTCCCGTTTCCAACGAAATCTTCACAGCTATCCAAATATCCACTTGCAGATTCTACAAAAAGAGTGTATCAAAACTGCTCTGTCAAAAGGAAGGTTCTTCTCTGTTAGTTGAGTACATACGTCATAAAGTAGTTTCTGAGAATGTTTCTGTCTAGTGGTTATGGGAAGATATTTGCTTTTTCACCTTAGGCCTCAGAGCGCTCCAAATATCCCCTTGCACATACTACAAAAAGAGTGCTTCAAAGCTGCTCTCTGAAAGAGAATGTTCAACTCTATGAGTTGAATGCAAACATCAAAAAGACGTTTCTGGGAATGCTTCTGTCTATATTTGATATGAAGATATTCCCGTTTCCAACGAAATCTTCAAATCTATCCAAATGTCCACTTGCAGATTCAACAAAAAGTGTTTTTCAGAACTGCTCTATCAAAAGAAAGATCCACCTCTGTTAGCTGAGTTCACACATCACAAACAAGTTTATGAGAATGCTTCTGTCTAGTTTTTATTTGAAGATATTTCCTTTCTCACCATAGACCTGAAACCTGTCCTAATGTTCACTTCCAGATACTACAGAAAGAGTGTTTCAAAACTGCTGTACGAAAGGGAATGTTCAACTCTGTGACTTGAATGCACACATCACAAGGAAGTTTCTGAGGATGCTGCTGTCTACTTTTTATACGTAATCCCGTTTCCAACGAAATCCTCCAAGCTATCTAAATATCCACTTGCAGATTCCACAGAAAGACTGTTTCAAAACTGCTCTGTCAATAGAAAGGTTCAACTCTGTTAGCTGCGTGCATATATCCCAAAGAAGATTCTGAGATTGCTTCTGTCTAGTTTTTATGGGAAGATATTTCCCTTTTCACCGTAGGCGTCAAGGCGCTCCAAATGTCCACTTCCAGATACTACAAAAAGAGTGTTTCAAACCTACTCCTGTGAAAGGGAATATTCAACTCTGTGACTTGAATGCACATATCACAAAGAAGTTTCTGAGAATGCTTCTGTCGAGATTTTATATGAAGATATTCCCGTTTCCAACGAAATCCTGAAATCTATCTAAATATCCCCTCGCAGATTCTACAAAAAGAGTGTTCCAAAACTGCTCTGTAAAAAGAAAGGTTCAACTCTGTTAGTTGAGTACACACATCACAAACAAGTTTCACAGAATGCTTCTTTCTAGCTTGTAGGGGAAGATATTCCCTTTATCACCATGGGCCTCAAACCGTCTGAAACGTCCACTTCCATATACTACAAAAAGAGCGATTCAAACCTGCTCTATGAAAGGCAATGTTCAACTCTGTGACTTGAATGCAGACATCACAGAGCAGTTTCTGAGAATGCTTTTGTTTAGATTTTATAGAAAGATATTCCCTTTTCCAACGAATTCTTCACAGATATCCAAATATCTACTTGCAGATTCTACAAGAAGAGTGTATCAAAACTGCTCTGTCAAAAGGAAGGTTCTTCTCTGTTAGTTGAGTACATACGTCATAAAGAAGTTTCTGAGAAGGTTTCTGTCTAGTGGTTATGGGAAGATATTTGCTTTTTCACCGTAGGCCTCAAAGTGCTCCTAATGTCCACTTGCACATACTACAAAATGAGTGCTTCAAAGCTGCTCTCTGAAAGGGAATGTTCAACTCTATGAGTTGAATGCAAACATCACAAAGACGTTTCTGAGAATGCTTCTGTCTAGATTTGATATGAAGATATTCCCGTTTCCAACGAAATCTTCAAATCTATCCAAATGTCCACTTGCAGATTCAACAAAACGTGTTTTTCAGAACTGCTCTATCAAAAGAAAGATCCACCTCTGTTAGCTGAGTTCACACATCACAAACAAGTTTATGAAAATGCTTCTGTATAGTTTTTATTTGAAGATATTTCCTTTCTCACCATAGACCTGAAAGCTGTCCTAATGTTCACTTCCAGATACTACAGAAAGAGTGTTTCAAAACTGCTGTACGAAAGGAAATGTTCAACTCTGTGACTTGAATGCACACATCACAAAGAAGTTTCTGAGGATGCTGCTGTCTACTTTTTATACGTAATCCCTTTTCCAACGAAATCCTCCAAGCTATCCAAATATCCACTTGCAGATTCCACAGAAAGACTGTTTCAAAACTGCTCTGTCAATAGAAAGGTTCAACTCTGTTAGCTGCGTGCATATATCCCAAAGAAGATTCTGAGATTGCTTCTGTCTAGTTTTTTAGGGAAGATATTTCCCTTTTCTCCGTAGCAGTCAAGGCGCTCCAAATGTCCACTTCCAGATACTACAAAAAGAGTGTTTCAAACCTACTCTGTGAAAGGGAATATTCAACTCTGTGACTTGAATGCAGATATCACAAAGAAGTTTCTGAGAATGCTTCTGTCGAGATTTTATATAAAGATATTCCCGTTTCCAACGAAATCCTGAAATCTATCCAAATATCCCCTCGCAGATTCTACAAAAAGAGTGTTTCAAAACTGCTCTGTAAAAAGAAAGGTTCAACTACTGTTAGTTGAGTACACACATCACAAACAAGTTTCACAGAATGCTTCTTTCTAGCTTGTAGGGGAAGATATTTCCTTTATCACCATGGTCCTCAAACCGTCCGAATCGTCCACTTCCATATACTAAAAAAAGAGTGTTTGAAACCTGCTCTATGAAAGGCAATGTTCAACTCTGTGACTTGAATGCAGACATCACAGAGCAGTTTCTGAGAATGCTTCTGTCTAGATTTTATAGGAAGATATTCCCGTTTCCAACGAAATCTTCACAGCTATCCAAATATCCACTTGCAGATTCTACAAAAAGAGTGTATCAAAACTGCTCTGTCAAAAGGAAGGTTCTTCTCTGTTAGGTGAGTGCATACGTCATTAAGGAGTTTCTGAGAATGTTTCTGTCTAGTGGTTATGGGAAGATATTTGCTTTTTCACCGTAGGCCTCAGAGCGCTCCAAATATCCACTTGCACATACTACAAAAAGAGTGCTTCAAACCTCCTCTCTGAAACGGAATGTTCAACTCTATGAGTTGAATGCAAACATGACAAAGACGTTTCTGAGAATGCTTCTGTCTAGATTTGATATGAAGATATTCCCGTTTCCAACGAAATCTTCAAATCTATCCAAATGTCCACTTGCAGATTCAACAAAAAGTGTTTTTCAGAACTGCTCTATCAAAAGAAAGATCCACCTCTGTTAGCTGAGTTCACACATCACAAACAAGCTTATGAGAATGCTTCTGTCTAGTTTTTATTTGAAGATATTTCCTTTCTCACCATAGACCGGAAAGCTGTCCTAATGTTCACTTCCAGATACTACAGAAAGAGTGTTTCAAAACTGCTGTACGAAAGGGAATGTTCAACTCTGTGACTTGAATGCACACATCCCAAAGAAGTTTCTGAGGATGCTGCTGTCTACTTTTTATACGTAATCCCGTTTCCAACGAAATCCTCCAAGCTATCCAAATATCCAATTGGAGATTCCACAGAAAGACTGTTTCAAAACTGCTCTGTCAATAGAAAGGTTCAACTCTGTTAACTGCGTGCATATATCCCAAAGAAGATTCTGAGATTGCTTCTGTCTAGTTTTTATGGGAAGATATTTCCGTTTTCACCGTAGGCGTCAAGGCGCTCCAAATGTCCACTTCCAGATACTACAAAAGAGTGTTCCAATCCTACTCTGTGAAAGGGAATATTCAACTCTGTGACTTGAATGCAGATATCACAAAGAAGTTTCTGAGAATGCTTCTGTCGAGATTTTATATGAAGATATTCCCGTTTCCAACGAAATCCTGAAATCTATCCAAATATCCCCTCGCAGATTCTACAAAACGAGTGTTTCAAAACTGCTCTGTAAAAAGAAAGGTTCAACTCTGTTAGTTGAGTACACACATCACAAACAAGTTTCACAGAATGCTTCTTTCTAGCTTGTAGGGGAAGATATTCCCTTTATCACCATGGGCCTCAAACCGTCCGAAACGTCCACTTCCATATAGTACAAAAAGAGCGTTTCAAACCTGCTCCATGAAAGGCAATGTTCAACTCTGTGACTTGAATGCAGACATCACAGAGCAGCTTCTGAGAATGCTTCTGTCTAGATTTTATAGGAAGATATTCCCGTTTCCAACGAAATCTTCACAGCTATCCTAATATCCACTTGCAGATTCTACAAAAAGAGTGTATCAAAACTGCTCTGTCAAAAGGAAGGTTCTTTTCTGTTAGGTGAGTGCATACGTCATAAAGGAGTTTCTGAGAATGTTTCTGTCTTGTGGTTATGGGAAGATATTTGCTTTTTCACCGTAGGCCTCAGAGCGCTCCAAATATCCACTTGCACATACTACAAAAAGAGTGCCTCAAAGCTGCTCTCTGAAACGGAATGTTCAACTCTATGAGTTGAATGCAAACATCGCAAAGACGTTTTCTGAGAATGCTTCTGTCTAGATTTGATATGAAGATATTCCCGTTTCCAACGAAATCTTCAAATCTATCCAAATGTCCACTTGCAGATTCAACAAAAAGTGTTTTTCAGAACTGCTCTATCAAAAGAAAGATCCACCTCTGTTAGCTGAGTTCCCACATCACAAACAGGTTTATGAGAATGCTTCTGTCTAGTTTTTATTTGAAGATATTTCCTTTCTCACCATAGACCTGAAAGCTGTCGTAATGTTCACTTCCAGATACTACAGAAAGAGTGTTTCAAAACTGCTGTACGAAAGGGAATGTTCAACTCCTGTGACTTGAATGCACACATCACAAAGAAGTTTCTGAGGATGCTGCTGTCCACTTTTTATACGTAATCCCGTTTCCAACGAAATCCTCCAAGCTATCCAAATATCCACTTGCAGATTCCACAGAAAGACTGTTTCAAAACTGCTCTGTCAATAGAAAGGTTCAACTCTGTTAGCTGCGTGCATATATCCCAAAGAAGATTCTGAGATTACTTCTGTCTAGTTTTTATGGGAAGATATTTCCCTTTTCACCGTAGGCGTCAAGGCGCTCCAAATGTCCACTTCCAGATACCACAAAGAGTGTTTCAAACCTACTCTGTGAAAGGGAATATTCAACTCTGTGACTTGAATGCAGATATCACAAAGAAGTTTCTGAGAATGCTTCTGTCGAGATTTTATATGAAGATATTCCCGTTTCCAACGAAATCCTAAAATCTATCCAAATATCCCCTCGCAGATTCTACAAAAAGAGTGTTTCAAAACTGCTCTGTAAAAAGAAAGGTTCAACTCTGTTAGTTGAGTACACACATCACAAACAAGTTTCACAGAATGCTTCTTTCTAGCTTGTAGGGGAAGATATTCCCTTTATCACCATGGGCCTCAAACCGTCCGAAACGACTACTTCCATATACTACAAAAAGAGCGTTTCAAACCTGCTCTATGAAAGGCAATGTTCAACTCTGTGACTTGAATGCAGACATCACAGAGCAGTTTCTGAGAATGCTTCTGTCTAGATTTTATAGGAAGATATTCCCGTTTCCAACGAAATCTTCACAGCTATCCAAATATCCACTTGCAGATTCCACAAAAAGAGTGTATCAAAACTGCTCTGTCAAAAGGAAGGTTCTTCTCTGTTAGTTGAGTACATACGTCATAAAGGAGTTTCTGAGAATGTTTCTGTCTAGTGGTTATGGGAAGATATTTGCTTTTACACCGTAGGCCTCAGAGCGCTCCAAATATCCACTTGCACATACTACAAAAAGAGTGCTTCAAAGCTGGTCTCTGAAACGGAATGTTCAACTCTATGAGTTGAATGCAAACATCACAAAGACGTTTCTGAGAATGCTTTCTGTCTAGATTTGATATGAAGGATATTCCCGTTTCCAACGAAATCTTCAAATCTATCCAAATGTCCACTTGCAGATTCAACAAAAAGTGTTTTTCAGAACTGCTCTATCAAAAGAAAGATCCACGTGTGTTAGCTGAGTTCACACATTACGAACAAGTTTATGAGAATGCTTCTGTCTAGTTTTTATTTGAAGATATATCCTTTCTCACTATAGACCTGAAAGCTGTCCTAATGTTCACTTCCAGATACTACAGAAAGAGTGTTTCAAAACTGCTGTACGAAAGGGAATTTTCAACTCTGTGACTTGAATGCACACATCACAAAGTAGTTTCTGAGGATGCTGCTGTCTACTTTTTATACGTAATCCCGTTTCCAACGAAATCCTCCAAGCTATCAAATATCCACTTGCAGATTCCACAGAAAGACTGTTTCAAAACTGCTCTGTCAATAGAAAGGTTCAACTCTGTTAGCTGCGTGCATATATCCCAAAGAAGATTCTGAGATTGCTTCTGTCTAGTTTTTATGGGAAGATATTTCCCTTTTCACCGTAGGCGTCAATGCACTCCAAATGTCCACTTCTAGATACGACAAAAAGAGTGTTTCAAACCTACTCTGTGAAAGGGAATATTCAACTCTGTGACTTGAATGCACATATCACAAAGAAGTTTCTGAGAATGCTTCTGTCGAGATTTTATATGAAGATATTCCCGTTTCCAACGAAATCCTGAAATCTATCCAAATATCCCCTCGCAGATTCTACAAAAAGAGTGTTTCAAAACTGCTCTGTAAAAAGAAAGGATCAACTCTGTTAGTTGAGTACACACATCACAAACAAGTTTCACAGAATGCTTCTTTCTAGCTTGTAGGGGAAGATATTCCCTTTATCACCATGGGCCTCCAACCGTCCGAAACATCCACTTCCATATACTACAAAAAAGCGTTTCAAACCTACTCTATGAAAGGCAATGTTCAACTCTGTGACTTGAATGCAGACATCACAGAGCAGTTTCTGAGAATGCTTCTGTCGAGATTTTATATGAAGATATTCCCGTTTCCAACGAAATCCTGAAATCTCTCCAAATATCCCCTCGCAGATTCTACAAAAAGAGTGTATCAAAACTGCTCTGTCAAAAGGTAGGTTCTTCTCTGTTAGGTGAGTGCATACGTCATAAAGGAGTTTCTGAGAATGTTTCTGTCTAGTGGTTATGGGAAGATATTTGCTTTTTCACCGTAGGCCTCAGGGCGCTCCAAATGTCCACTTGCACATGCTACAAAAAGAGTGCTTCAAAGCTGCTCTCTGAAAGGGAATGTTCAACTCTATGAGTTGAATGCAAACATCACAAAGACGTTTCTGAGAATGCTTCTGTCTAGATTTGATATGAAGATATTCCCGTTTCCAACGAAATCTTCAAATCTATCCAAATGTCCACTTGCAGATTCAACAAAAAGTGTTTTCCCGAACTGCTCTATCAAAAGAAAGATCCGCCTCTGTTAGCTGAGTCCACACATCACAAACAAGTTTATGAGAATGCTTCTGTCTAGTTTTTATTTGAAGATATTTCCTTTCTCACCATAGACCTGAAAGCTGTCCTAATGTTCACTTCCAGATACTACAGAAAGAGTGTTTCAAAACTGCTGTACGAAAGGGAATGTTCAACCCTGTGACTTGAATGCACACATCACAAAGAAGTTTCTGAGGATTCTGCTGTCTACTTTTTATACGTAATCCCGTTTCCAATGAAATCCTCCAATCTATCCAAATATCCACTTGCAGATTCCACAGAAAGACTGTTTCAAATCTGCTCTGTCAACAGAAAGATTCAACTCTGTTAGCTGCGTGCATATATCCCAAAGAAGATTCTGAGATTGCTTCTGTCTAGTTTTTATGGGAAGATATTTCCCTTTTCACCGTAGGTGTCAAGGCGCTCCAAATGTCCACTTCCAGATACTACAAAAAGAGTGTTTCAAACCTACTCTGTGAAAGGGAATATTCAACTCTGTGACTTGAATGCACATATCACAAAGAAGTTTTCTGAGAATGCTTCTGTCGAGATTTTATATGAAGATATTCCCGTTTCCAACGAAATCCTGAAATCTATCCAAATATCCCCTCGCAGATTCTACAAAAAGAGTGTTTCAAAACTGCTCTGTAAAAAGAAAGGTTCAAATCTGTTAGTTGAGTACACACATCACAAACAAGTTTCACACAATGCTTCTTTCTAGACTTGTAGGGGAAGATATTCCCTTTATCACCATGGGCCTCCAACCGTCCGAAACATCCACTTCCATATACTACAAAAAGAGCGTTTCAAACCTGCTCTATGAAAGGCAATGTTCAACTCTGTGACTTGAATGCAGACATCACAGAGCAGTTTCTGAGAATGCTTCTGTCTAGATTTTATAGGAAGATATTCCCGTTTCCAATGAAATCTTCACAGCTATCCAAATATCCACTTGCAGATTCTACAAAAAGAGTGTATCAAAACTGCTCTGTCAAAAGGAAGGTTCTTTTCTGTTAGGTGAGTGCATACGTCATAAAGGAGTTTCTGAGAATGTTTCTGTCTAGTGGTTATGGGAAGATATTTGCTTTTTCACCTTAGGCCTCAGAGAGCTCCAAATATACCCTTGCACATACTACAAAAAGAGAGCTTCAAAGCTGCTCTCTGAAAGGGAATGTTCAACTCTATGAGTTGAATGCAAACATCACAAAGACGTTTCTGAGAATGCTTCTGTCTAGATTTGATATGAAGATATTCCCGTTTCCAACGAAATCTTCATATCTATCCAAATGTCCACTTGCAGATTCAACAAAAAGTGTTTTTCAAAACTGCTCTATCAAAAGAAAGATCCACCTCTGTTAGCTGAGTTCACACATCACAAACAAGTTGATGAGAATGCTTCTGTCTAGTTTTTATTTGAAGATATTTCCTTTCTCACCATAGAGCTGAAAGCTGTCCTAATGTTCACTTCCAGATACTACAGAAAGAGTGTTTCAAAACTGCTGTATGAAAGGGAATGTTCAACTCTGTGACTTGAATGCACACATCACAAAGAAGTTTCTGAGGATGCTGCTGTCTACTTTTTATACGTAATCCCGTTTCCAACGAAATCCTCCAATCTATCAAAATATCCACTTGCAGATTCCACAGAAAGACTGTTTCAAAACTGCTCTGTCAATAGAAAGGTTCAACTCTGTTAGCTGCGTGCATATATCCCAAAGAAGATTCTGAGATTGCTTCTGTCTAGTTTTTATGGGAAAATATTTCCCTTTTCACCGTAGGTGTCAAGGCGCTCCAAATGTCCACTTCCAGATACTACAAAAAGAGTGTTTCAAACCTACTCTGTGAAAGGGAATATTCAACTCTGTGACTTGAATGCAGATATCACAAAGAAGTTTCTGAGAATGCTTCTGTCGAGATTTTCTATGAAGATATTCCCGTTTCCAACGAAATCCTGAAATGTATCCAAATATCCCCTCGCAGATTCTACAGAAAGAGTGTTTCAAAACTGCTCTGTAAAAAGAAAGGTTCAACTCTGTTAGTTGAGTACACACATCACAAACAAGTTTCACAGAATGCTTCTTTCTAGCTTGTAGGGGAAGATATTCCCTTTATCACCATGGGCCTCAAACCGTCCGAAACGTCCACTTCCATATACTACAAAAAGAGCGTTTCAAACCTACTCTATGAAAGGCAATGTTCAACTCTGTGACTTGAATGCAGACATCACAGAGCAGTTTCTGAGAATGCTTCCGTCTAGATTTTATAGGAAGATATTCCCGTTTCCAACGAAATCTTCACAGCTATCCAAATATCCACTTGCAGATTCTACAAAAAGAGTGTATCAAAACTGCTCTGTCAAAAGGAAGGTTCTTCTCTGTTAGTTGAGTACATACGTCATAAAGGAGTTTCTGAGAATGTTTCTGTCTAGTGGTTATGGGAAGATATTTGCTTTTTCACCGTAGGCCTCAGAGCGCTCCAAATATCCCCTTGCACATACTACAAAAAGAGTGCTTCAAAGCTGCTCTCTGAAACGGAATGTTCAACTCTATGAGTTGAATTCAAACATCACAAAGACGTTTCTGAGAATGCTTCTGTCTAGATTTGATATGAAGATATTCCCGTTACCAACGAAATCTTCAAATCTATCCAAATGTCCACTTGCAGATTCAACAAAAAGTGTTTTTCAGAACTGCTCTATCAAAAGAAAGATCCACCTCTGTTAGATGAGTTCACACATCACAAACAAGTTTATGAGAATGCTTCTGTCTAGTTTTTATTTGAAGATATTTCCTTTCTCACCATAGACCTGAAAGCTGTCCTAATGTTTACTTCCAGTTACTACAGAAAGAGTGTTTCAAAACTGCTGTACGAAAGGGAATGTTCAACTCTGTGACTTGAATGCACACATCACAAAGAAGTTTCTGAGGATGCTGCTGTCTACTTTTTATACGTAATCCCGTTTCCAACGAAATCCTCCAAGCTATCCAAATATCCACTTGCAGATTCCACAGAAAGACTGTTTCAAAACTGCTCTGTCAATAGAAAGGTTCAACTCCGTTAGCTGCGTGCATATATCCCAAAGAAGATTCTGAGATTGCTTCTGTCTAGTTTGTATGGGAAGATATTTCCCTTTTCACCGTAGGCGTCAAGGCGCTCCAAATGTCCACTTCCAGATACTACAAAAAGAGTGTTTCAAACCTACTCTGTGAAAGGGAATATTCAACTCTGTGACTTGAATGCACATATCACAAAGAAGTTTCTGAGAATGCTTCTGTCGAGATTTTATATGAAGATATTCCCGTTTCCAACGAAATCCTGAAATGTATCCAAATATCCCCTCGCAGATTCTACAAAAAGAGTGTTTCAAAACTGCTCTGTAAAAAGAAAGGTTCAACTCTGTTAGTTGAGTACACACATCACAAACAATTTTCACACAATGCTTCTTTCTAGCTTGTAGGGGAAGATATTCCCTTTATCACCATGGGCCTCAAACCGTCCGAAACGTCCACTTCCATATACTAAAAAAAGAGCGTTTCAAACCTGCTCTAGGAAAGGCAATGTTCAACTCTGTGACTTGAATGCAGACATCACATAGCAGTTTCTGAGAATGCTTCTGTCTAGATTTTATAAGAAGATATTCCCGTTTCCAACGAAATCTTCACAGCTATCCAAATATCCACTTGCAGATTCTACAAAAAGAGTGTATCAAAACTGCTCTGTCAAAAGGAAGGTTCTTCTCTCTTAGGTGAGTGCATACGTCATAAAGGAGTTTCTGAGAATGTTTCTGTCTAGTGGTTATGGGAAGATATTTGCTTTTTCACCGTAGGCCTCAGAGCGCTCCAAATATCCACTTGCACATACTACAAAAAGAGTGCCTCAAAGCTGCTCTCAGAAACGGAATGTTCAACTCTATGAGTTGAATGCAAACATCGCAAAGACGTTTCTGAGAATGCTTCTGTCTAGATTTGATATGACGATATTCCCGTTTCCAACGAAATCTTCAAATCTATCCAAATGTCCACTTGCAGATTCAACAAAAAGTGTTTTTCAGAACTGCTCTATCAAAAGAAAGATCCACCTCTGTTAGCTGAGTTCACACATCACAAACAAGTTTATGAGAATGCTTCTGTCTAGTTTTTATTTGAAGATATTTCCTTTCTCATCATAGAGCTGAAAGCTGTCCTAATGTTCACTTCCAGATACTACAGAAAGAGTGTTTCAAAACTGTTGTACGAAAGGGAATGTTCAACTCTGTGACTTGAATGCACACATCACAAAGAAGTTTCTGAGGATGCTGCTGTCTACTTTTTATACGTAATCCCGTTTCCAACGAAATCCTCCAGGCTATCCAAATATCCACTTGCAGATTCCACAGAAACACTGTTTGAAATCTGCTCTGTCAATAGAAAAGTTCAACTCTATTAGCTGCGTGCATATATCCCAAAGAAGATTCTGAGATTGCTTCTGTCTAGTTTTTATGGGAAGATATTTCCCTTTTCACCGTAGGCGTCAAGGCGCTCCAAATGTCCACTTCCAGATAGTACAAAAAGAGTGTTTCAAACCTACTCTGTGAAAGGGAATATTCAACTCTGTGACTTGAATGCACATATCACAAAGAAGTTTCTGAGAATGCTTCTGTCGAGATTTTGTATGAAGATATTCCCGTTTCCAACGAAATCCTGAAATCTATCCAAATTTCCCCTCGCAGATTCTACAAAAAGAGTGTTTCAAAACTGCTCTGTGAAAAGAAAGGTTCAACTCTGTTAGTTGAGTACACACATCACAAACAAGTTTCACAGAATGCTTCTTTCTAGCTTGTAGGGGAAGATATTCCCTTTATCACCATGGGCCTCAAACCGTCCGAAAAGTCCACTTCCATATACTACAAAAAGAGCGTTTCAAACCTGCTATATGAAAGGCAATGTTCAACTCTGTGACTTGAATGCAGACATCACAGAGCAGTTTCTGAGAATGCTTCTGTCTAGATTTCATAAGAAGATATTCCCGTTTCCAACGAAATCTTCACAGCTATCCAAATATCCACTTGGAGATTCTACAAAAAGAGTGTATCAAAACTGCTCTGTCAAAAGGAAGGTTCTTCTCTGTTAGGTGAGTGCATACGTCATAAAGGAGTTTCTGAGAATGTATCTGTCTAGTGGTTATGGGAAGATATTTGCTTTTTCACCGTAGGCCTCAGAGCGCTCCAAATACCCACTTGCACATACTACAAAAAGAGTGCCTCAAAGCTGCTCTCTGAAACGGAATGTTCAACTCTATGAGTTGAATGCAAACATCACAAAGACGTTTCTGAGAATGCTTCTGTCTAGATTTGATATGAAGATATTCCCGTTTCCAACGAAATCTTCAAATCTATCCAAATATCCACTTGCATATTCAACAAAAAGTGTTTTTCAGAACTGCTCTATCAAAAGAAAGATCCACCTCTGTTAGCTGAGTTCACACATCACAAAAAGGTTTATGAGAATGCTTCTGTCTAGTTTTTATTTGAAGATATTTCCTTTCTCACCATAGAGCTGAAAGCTGTCCTAATGTTCACTTCCAGATACTACAGAAAGAGTGTTTCAAAACTGCTGTACGAAAGGGAATGTTCAACTCTGTGACTTGAATGCACACATCACAAAGTAGTTTCGGAGGATGCTGCTGTCTACTTTTTATACGTAATCCCGTTTCCAACAAAATCCTCCAAGCTATCCAAATATCCACTTGCAGATTCCACAGAAAGACTGTTTCAAAACTGCTCTGTCAATAGAAAGGTTCAACTCTGTTAGCTGCGTGCATATATCCCAAAGAAGATTCTGAGATTGCTTCTGTCTAGTTTTTATGGGAAGATATTTCCCTTTTCACCGTAGGCATCAAGGCGCTCCAAATGTCCACTTCCAGATACTACAAAAAGAGTGTTTCAAACCTACTCTGTGAAAGGGAATATTCAACTCTGTGACTTGAATGCAGATATCACAAAGAAGTTTCTGAGAATGCTTCTGTCTAGATTTTATAGGAAGATATTCCCGTTTCCAATGAAATCTTCACAGCTATCCAAATATCCACTTGCAGATTCTACAAAAAGAGTGTATCAAAACTGCTCTGTCAAAAGGAAGGTTCTTCTCTGTTAGGTGAGTGCATACTTCATAAAGGAGTTTCTGAGAATGTTTCTTTCTAGCTTGTAGGGTAAGATATTCCCTTTATCACCATGGGCCTCAAGCCGTCCGAAACGTCTACTTCCATATACTACAAAAAGAGCGTTTCAAACCTGCTCTATGAAAGGCAATGTTCAACTCTGTGACTTGAATGCAGACATCACAGAGCAGTTTCTGAGAATGCTTTCTGTCTAGATTTTATAGGAAGATATTCCCGTTTCCAACGAAATCTTCACAGCTATCCAAATATCCACTTGCAGATTCTACAAAAAGAGTGTATCAAAACTGCTCTGTCAAAAGGAAGGTTCTTTTCTGTTAGGTGAGTGCATACGTCATAAAGGAGTTTCTGAGAATGTTTGTCTGTCTAGTGGTTATGGGAAGATATTTGCTTTTTCACCGTAGGCCTCAGGGCGCTCCAAATGTCCACTTGCACATGCTACAAAAAGAGTGCTTCAAAGCTGCTCTCTGAAAGGGAATGTTCAACTCTATGAGTTGAATGCAAACATTACAAAGACGTCTCTGAGAATGCTTCTGTCTAGATTTGATATGAAGATATTCCCGTTTCCAAGGAAATCTTCAAATCTATCCAAATGTCCACTTTCAGATTCAACAAAAAGTGTTTTTCAAAACTGCTGTATCAAAAGAAAGATCCACGTCTGTTAGCTGAGTTCACACATCACAAACAAGTTTATGAGAATGCCTCTGTGTAGTTTTTATTTGAAGATATTTCCTTTCTCACCATAGACCTGAATGCTGTCCTAATGTTCACTTCCAGATACTACAGAAAGAGTTTTTCAAAACTGCTGTACGAAAGGGAATATTCAACTCTGTGACTTGAATGCACACATCACAAAGAAGTTTCTGAGGATGCTGCTGTCTACTTTTTACACGTAGTCCCGTTTCCAAAGAAATCCTCCAAGCTATCCAAATATCCACTTGCAGATTCCACAGAAAGACTGTTTCAAAACTGCTCTGTCAATAGAAAGGTTCAACTGCTGTTAGCTGCGTGCATATATCCCAAAGAAGATTCTGAGATTGCTTCTGTCTAGTTTTTATCGGGAAGATATTTCCCTTTTCACCGTAGGTGTCAAGGTGCTCCAAATGTCCACTTCCAGATACTACAAAAAGAGTGTTTCAAACCTACTCTGTGAAAGGGAATATTCAACTCTGTGACTTGAATGCAGATATCACAAAGAAGTTTCTGAGAATGCTTCTGTCGAGATTTTATATGAAGATATTCCCGTTTCCATCGAAATCCTGAAATCTATCCAAATATCCCCTCGCAGATTCTACAAAAAGAGTGTTTCAAAACTGCTCTGTAAAAAGAAAGGTTCAACTCTGTTAGTTGAGTACACACATCACAAACAAGTTTCACACAATGCTTCTTTCTAGCTTGTAGGGGAAGATATTCCCTTTATCACCATGGGCCTCAAACCGTCCGAAACGTCCACTTCCATATACTACAAAAAGAGTGTTTCAAACCTGCTCTATGAAAGGCAATGTTCAACTCTGTGACTTGAATGCAGACATCACAGAGCAGTTTCTGAGAATGCTTCTGTCTAGATTTTATAGGAAGATATTCCCGTTTCCAACGAAATCTTCACAGGTATCCAAATATCCACTTGCAGATTCTACAAAAAGAGTGTATCAAAACTTCTCTGTCAAAAGGAAGGTTCTTCTCTGTTAGGTGAGTGCATACGTCATAAAGGAGTTTCTGAGAATGTTTCTGTCTAGTGGTTATGGGAAGATATTTGCTTTTTCACCGTTGGCCTCACAGCGCACCAAATATCCACTTGCACATACTACAAAAAGAGTGCCTCAAAGCTGCTCTCTGAAACGGAATGTTCAACTCTATGAGTTGAATGCAAACATCACAAAGACGTTTCTGAGAATGCTTCTGTCTAGATTTGATATGAAGATATTCCCGTTTCCAACGAAATCTTCAAATCTATCCAAATGTCCACTTGCAGATTCAACAAAAAGTGTTTTTCAGAACTGCTCTATCAAAAGAAAGATCCACCTCTGTTAGCTGAGTTCACACATCATAAACAAGTTTATGAGAATGCTTCTGTCTAGTTTTTATTTGAAGATATTTCCTTTCTCACCATAGAGCTGAAAGCTGTCCTAATGTTCACTTCCAGATACTACAGAAAGAGTGTTTCAAAATTGCTGTACGAAAGGGAATGTTCAACTCTGTGACTTGAATGCACACATCACAAAGAAGTTTCTGAGGATGCTGCTGTTTACTTTTTATACGTAATCCCGTTTCCAACGAAATCCTCCAAGCTATCCAAATATCCACTTGCAGATTCCACAGAAAGACTGTTTCAAAACTGCTCTGTCAATAGAAAGGTTCAACTCTGTTAGCTGCGTGCATATATCCCAAAGAAGATTCTGAGATTGCTTCTGTCTAGTTTTTATGGGAAGATATTTCCCTTTTCACCGTAGGCGTCAAGGCACTCCAAATGTCCACTTCCAGATACTACAAAAAGAGTGTTTCAAACCTACTCTGTGAAAGGGAATATTCAACTCTGTGACTTGAAGGCAGATATCACAAAGAAGTTTCTGAGAATGCTTCTGTCGAGATTTTATATGAAGATATTCCCGTTTCCAACGAAATCCTGAAATCTATCCAAATATCCCCTCGCAGATTCTACAAAAAGAGTGTTTCAAAACTGCTCTGTAAAAAGAAAGGTTCAACTCTGTTAGTTGAATACACACATCACAAACAAGTTTCACAGAGTGCTTCTTTCTAGCTTGTAGGGGAAGATATTCCCTTTATCACCATGGTCCTCAAACCGTCCGAAACGTCCTCTTCCATATAGTACAAAAAGAGCGTTTCTAACCTGCTCTATGAAAGTCAATGTTCAACTCTGTGACTTGAATGCAGACATCACAGAGCAGTTTCTGAGAATGCTTCTGTCTAGATTTTATAGGAAGGTATTCCCGTTTCCAACGAAATCTTCACAGCTATCCAAATATCCACTTGCAGATTCTACAAAAAGAGTGTATCAAAACTGCTCTGTCAAAAGGAAGGTTCTTCTCTGTTAGTTGAGTACATACGTCATAAAGGAGTTTGTGAGAATGTTTCTGTCTAGTGGTTATGGGAAGATATTTGCTTTTTCACCGAGGGCCTCAGAGCGCTCCAAATATCCACTTGCACATACTACAAAAAGAGTGCCTCAAAGCTGCTCTCTGAAACGGAATGTTCAACTCTATGAGTTGAATGCAAACATCACAAAGACGTTTCTGAGAATGCTTCTGTCTAGATTTGATATGAAGATATTCCCGTTTCCAAAGAAATCTTCAAATCTGTCCAAATGTCCACTTGCAGATTCAACAAAAAGTGTTTTTCAGAACTGCTCTATCAAAAGAAAGATCCACGTCTCTTAGCTGAGTTCACACATCACAAACAAGTTTATGAGAATGCTTCTGTCTAGTTTTTATTTGAAGATATTTCCTTTCTCACCATAGACCTGAAAGCTGTCCTAATGTTCACTTCCAGATGCTACAGAAAGAGTGTTTCAAAACTGCTGTACGAAAGGGTATGTTCAACTCTGTGACTTGAATGCACACATCACAAAGAAGTTTCTGAGGATGCTGCTGTCTACTTTTTATACGTAATCCCGTTTCCAACGAAATCCTCCAAGCTATCCAAATATCCACTTGCAGATTCCACAGAAAGACTGTTTCAAAACTGCTCTGTCAATAGAAAGGTTCAACTATGTTAGCTGCGTGCATATATCCCAAAGAAGATTCTGAGATTGCTTCTGTCTACTTTTTATGAGAAGATATTTCCCTGTTCACCGTAGGCGTCAAGGCGCTCCAAATGTCCACTTCCAGATACTACAAAAAGAGTGTTTCAAACCTACTCTGTGAAAGGGAATATTCAACTCTGTGACTTGAATGCACATATCACAAAGAAGTTTCAGAGAATGCTTCTGTCGAGATTTTATATGAAGATATTCCCGTTTCCAACGAAATCCTGAAATCTATCCAAATATCCCCTCGCAGATTCTACAAAAAGAGTGTTTCAAAACTGCTCTGTATAAAGAAAGGTTCAACACTGTTAGTTGAGTACACACATCTCAAACAAGTTTCACAGAATGCTTCTTTCTAGCTTGTAGGGGAAGATATTCCCTTTATCACCATGGGCCTCCAACCGTACGAAACATCCACTTCCATATACTACAAAAAGAGCGTTTCAAACCTGCTCTAGGAAAGGCAATGTTCAACTCTGTGACTTGAATGCAGACATCACAGAGCAGTTTCTGAGAATGCTTCTGTCTAGATTTTATACGAATATATTCCCGTTTCCAACGAAATCTTCACAGCTATCCAAATATCCACTTGCAGATTCTACAAAAAGAGTGTATCAAAACTGCTCTGTCAAAAGGAAGGTTCTTTTCTGTTAGGTGAGTGCATACGTCATAAAGGAGTTTCTGAGAATGTTTCTCTCTAGTGGTTATGGGAAGATATTTGCTTTTTCACCGTAGGCCTCAGAGCGCTCCAAATATCCACTTGCACATACTACAAAAAGAGTGCCTCAAAGCTGCTCTCTGAAACGGAATGTTCAACTCTATGAGTTGAATGCAAACATCACAAAGACGTTTCTGAGAATGCTTCTGTCTAGATTTGATATGAAGATATTCCCGTTTCCAACAAAATCTTCAAATCTATCCAAATGTCCACTTGCAGATTCAACAAAAAGTGTTTTTCAGAACTGCTCTATCAAAAGAAAGATCCACCTCTGTTAGCTGAGTTCACACATCACAAACAAGTTTATGAGAATGCTTCTGTCTAGTTTTTATTTGAAGATATTTCCTTTCTCACCATAGACCTGAAAGCTGTCCTAATGTTCACTTCCAGATACTACAGAAAGAGTGTTTCAAAACTGCCGTACGAAAGGGAATGTTCAACTCTGTGACTTGAATGCACACATCACAAAGAAGTTTCTGAGGATGCTGCTGTCTACTTTTTATACGTAATCCCGTTTCCAACGAAATCCTCCAAGCTATCCAAATATCCACTTGCAGATTCCTCAGAAAGACTGTTTCAAAACTGCTCTGTCAATAGAAAGGTTCAACTACTGTTAGCTGCGTGCATATATCCCAAAGAAGATTACTGAGATTGCTTCTGTCTACTTTTTATGAGAAGATATTTCCCTTTTCACCGTAGGCATCAAGGCGCTCCAAATGTCCACTTCCAGATACTACAAAAAGTGTGTTTCAAACCTACTCTGTGAAAGGGAATATTCAACTCTGTGACTTGAATGCACATATCACAAAGAAGCTTCTGAGAATGCTTCTGTCGAGATTTTATATGAAGATATTCCCGTTTCCAACGAAATCCTGAAATGTATCCAAATATCCCCTCGCAGATTCTACAAAAAGAGTGTTTCAAAACTGCTCTGTAAAAAGAAAGGTTCAACTCTGTTAGTTGAGTACACACATCACAAATAAGTTTCACACAATGCTTCTTTCTAGCTTGTAGGGGAAGATATTCCCTTTATCACCATGGGCCTCAAACCGTCTGAAACGTCCACTTCCATATACTACAAAAAGAGCATTTCAAACCTGCTGTATGAAAGGCAATGTTCAACTCTGTGACTTGAATGCAGACATCACAGAGCAGTTTCTGAGAATGCTTCTGTCTAGATTTTATAGGAAGATATTCCCGTTTCCAACGAAATCTTCACAGCTATCCAAATATCCACTTGCAGATTCTACAAAAAGAGTGTATCAAAACTGCTCTGTCAAAAGGACGGTTCTTCTCTGTTAGGTGAGTGCATACGTCATAAAGGAGTTTCTGAGAATGTTTCTGTCTAGTGGTTATGGGAAGATATTTGCTTTTTCACCGTAGGCCTCAGAGCGCTCCAAATATCCACTTGCACATACTACAAAAAGAGTGCTTCACAGCTGCTCTCTGAAAGGGAATATTCAACTCTATGAGTTGAATGCAAACATCACAAAGACGTTTCTGAGAATGCTTCTGTCTAGATTTGATATGAAGATATTCCCGTTTCCAACGAAATCTTCAAATCTTTTCAAATGTCCACTTGCAGATTCAACAAAAAGTGTTTTTCAGAACTGCTCTATCAAAAGAAAGATCCACTTCTGTTAGCTGAGTTCACACATCACAAACAAGTTTATGAGAATGCTTCTGTCTAGTTTTTATTTGAAGATATTTCCTTTCTCACCATAGACCTGAAAGCTGTCTTAATGTTCACTTCCAGATACTACAGAAAGAGTGTTTCAAAACTGCTGTACGAAAGGGAATGTTCAACACTCTGACTTGAATGCACACATCACAAAGAAGTTTCTGAGGATGCTGCTGTCTACTTTTTATACGTAATCCCGTTTCCAACGAAATCCTCCAATCTATCCAAATATCCACTTGCAGATTCCACAGAAAGACTGTTTCAAAACTGCTCTGTCAATAGAAAGGTTCAACTCTGTTAGCTGCGTGCATATATCCCAAAGAAGATTCTGAGATTGCTTATCTGTCTAGTTTTTATGGGAAGATATTTCCCTTTTCACCGTAGGCATCAAGGCGCTCCAAATGTCCACTTCCAGATACTATAAAAAGTGTGTTTCAAACCTACTCTGTGAAAGGGAATATTCAACTCTGTGACTTGAATGCACATATCACAAAGAAGCTTCTGAGAATGCTTCTGTCGAGATTTTAAATGAAGATATTCCCCTTTCCAACGAAATCCTGAAATCTATCCAAATATCCCCTCGCAGATTCTACAAAAAGAGTGTTTCTAAACTGCTCTGTAAAATGAAAGGTTCAACTCTGTTAGTTGAGTACACACATCACAAACAAGTTTCACAGAATGCTTCTTTCTAGCTTGTAGGGGAAGATATTCCCCTTTATCACCATGGGCCTCAAACCGTCCGAAAAGTCCACTTCCATATACTACAAAAAGAGCATTTCAAACCTGCTCTATGAAAGGCAATGTTCAACTCTGTGACTTGAATGCAGACATCACAGAGCAGTTTCTGAGAATGCTTCTGTCTAGATTTTATAGGAAGATATTCCCGTTTCCAACGAAATCTTCACAGCTATCCAAATATGCACTTGCAGATTCTACAAAAAGAGTGTATCAAAACTGCTCTGTCAAAAAGAAGGTTCTTCTCTGTTAGTTGAGTACATACGTCATAAAGGAGTTTCTGAGAATGTTTCTGTCTAGTGGTTATGGGAAGATATTTGCTTTTTCACTGTAGGCCTCAGAGCGCTCCAAATATCCACTTGCACATACTACAAAAAGAGTGCCTCAAAGCTGCTCTCTGAAACGGAATGTTCAACTCTATGAGTTGAATGCAAACATCGCAAAGACGTTTCTGAGAATGCTTCTGTCTAGATTTGATATGAAGATATTCCCGTTTCCAACGAAATCTTCAAATCTATCCAAATGTCCACTTGCAGATTCAACAAAAAGTGTTTTTTAGAACTGCTCTATCAAAAGAAAGATCCACCTCTGTTAGCTGAGTTCACACATCACAAACAAGTTTATGAGAATGCTTCTGTCTAGCTTTTATTTGAAGATATATCCTTTCTCACTATAGACCTGAAAGCTCTCCTAAAGTTCACTTCCAGATACTACAGAAAGAGTGTTTCAAAACTGCTGTACGAAAGGGAATGTTCAACTCTGTGACTTGAATGCACACATCACAAGGATGTTTCTGAGGATGCTGCTGTCTACTTTTTATACGTAATCCCGTTTCCAACGAAATCCTCCAAGCTATCCAAATATCCACTTGCAGATTCCACAGAAAGACTCTTTCAAAAGTGCTCTCTCAATAGAAAGGTTCAACTCTGTTAGCTGCGTGCATATATCCCAAAGAAGATTCTGAGATTGCTTCTGTCTAGTTTTTATGGGAAGATATTTCCCTTTTCACCGTAGGTGTCAAGGCGCTCCAAATGTCCACTTCCAGATACTACAAAAAGAGTGTTTCAAACCTACTCTGTGAAAGGGAATATTCAACTCTGTGACTTGAATGCAGATATCACAAAGTAGTTTCTGAGAATGCTTCTGTCGAGATTTTGTATGAAGATATTCCCGTTTCCAACGAAATCCTGAAATCTATCCAAATTTCCCCTCGCAGATTCTACAAAAAGAGTGTTTCAAAACTGCTCTGTAAAAAGAAAGGTTCAACTCTGTTAGTTGAGTACACACATCACAAACAAGTTTCACAGAATGCTTCTTTCTAGCTTGTAGGGGAAGATATTCCCTTTATCACCATGGGCCTCAAACCGTCCGAAAAGTCCACTTCCATATACTACAAAAAGAGCGTTTCAAACCTGCTCTATGAAAGGCAATGTTCAACTCTGTGACTTGAATGCAGACATCACAGAGCAGTTTGCTGAGAATGCTTCTGTCTAGTATGTTATAGGAAGATATTCCCGTTTCCAACGAAATCTTCACAGGTATCCAAATATCCACTTGCAGATTCTACAAAAAGAGTGTATCAAAACTGCTCTGTCAAAAGGAAGGTTCTTCTCTGTTAGGTGAGTGCATACGTCATAAAGGAGTTTCTGAGAATGTTTCTGTCTAGTGGTTATGGGAAGATATTTGCTTTTTCACCGTAGGCCTCAGAGCGCTCCAAATATCCACTTGCACATACTACAAAAAGAGTGCTTCAAAGCTGGTCTCTGAAAGGGAATGTTCAACTCTATGAGTTGAATGCAAACATCACAAAGACGTTTCTGAGAATGCTTCTGTCTAGATTTGATATGAAGATATTCCCGTTTCCAACGAAATCTTCAAATCTATCCAAATGTCCACTTGCAGATTCAACAAAAAGGGTTTTTCAGAACTGCTCTATCAAAAGAAAGATCCACCTCTGTTAGCTGAGTTCACACATCACAAACAAGTTTATGAGAATGCTTCTGTCTAGTTTTTATTTGAAGATATTTCCTTTCTCACCATAGACCTGAAAGCTGTCTTAATGTTCACTTCCAGATACTACAGAAAGAGTGTTTCAAAACTGCTGTACGAAAGGGAATGTTCAACTCTGTGACTTGAATGCACACATCACAAAGAAGTTTCTGAGGATGCTGCTGTCTACTTTTTATACGTAATCCCGTTTCCAAAGAAATCCTCCAAGCTATCCAAATATCCACTTGCAGATTCCACAGAAAGACTGTTTCAAAACTGCTCTGTCAATAGAAAGGTTCAACTCTGTTAGCTGCGTACATATATCCCAAAGAAGATTCTGAGATTGCTTCTGTCTAGTTTTTATGGGAAGATATTTCCCTTTTCACTGTAGGTGTCAAGGCGCTCCAAATGTCCACTTCCAGATACTACAAAAAGAGTGTTTCAAACCTACTCTGTGAAAGGGAATATTCAACTCTGTGACTTGAATGCACATATCACAAAGAAGTTTCTGAGAATGCTTCTGTCGAGATTTTATATGAAGATATTCCCGTTTCCAACGAAATCCTGAAATCTATCCAAATATCCCCTCGCAGATTCTACAAAAAGAGTGTTTCAAAACTGCTCTGTAAAAAGGAAGGTTCTTCTCTGTTAGGTGAGTGCATACGTCATAAAGGAGTTTCTGAGAATGTTTCTGTCTAGTGGTTATGGGAAGATATTTGCTTTTTCCCCGTAGGCCTCAGGGCCCTCCAAATGTCCACTTGCACATGGTACAAAAAGAGTGCTTCAAAGCTGCTCTCTGAAAGGGAATGTTCAACTCTATGAGTTGAATGCAAACATCGGAAAGACGTTTCTGAGAATGCTTCTGTCTAGATTTTATAGGAAGATATTACCGTTTCCAACGAAATCTTCACAGCTATCCAAATATCCACTTGCAGATTCTACAAAAAGAGTGTATCAAAACTGCTCTGTAAAAAGGAAGGTTCTTCTCTGTTAGGTGAGTGCACACGTCATAAAGGAGTTTCTGAGAATGTTTCTGTCTAGTGGTTATGGGAAGATATTTGCTTTTTCACCGTAGGCCTCAGAGCGCTCCAAATATCCACTTGCACATACTACAAAAAGAGTGCTTCAAAGCTGCTCTCTGAAAGGGAATTTTCAACTCTATGAGTTGAATGCAAACATCACAAAGACGTTTCTGAGAATGCTTCTGTCTAGATTTGATATGAAGATATTCCCGTTTCCAAAGAAATCTTCAAATCTATCCAAATGTCCACTTGCAGATTCAACAAAAAGTGTTTTTCAGAACTGCTCTATCAAAAGAAAGATCCACCTCTGTTAGCTGAGTTCACACATCAGAAACAAGTTTATGAGAATGCTTCTGTCTAGTTTTTATTTGAAGATATTTCCTTTCTCACCATAGACCTGAAAGCTGTCCTAATGTTCACTTCCAGATACTACAGAAAGAGTGTTTCAAAACTGCTGTACGAAAGGGAATGTTCAACACTGTGACTTGAAAGCACACATCACAAAGAAGTTTACTGAGGATGCTGCTGTCTACTTTTTATGCGTAATCCCGTTTCCAACGAAATCCTCCAAGCTATCCAAATATCCACTTGCATATTCCACAGAAAGACTGTTTCAAAACTGCTCTGTCAATAGAAAGGTTCAACTCTGTTAGCTGCGTGCATATATCCCAAAGAAGATTCTGAGATTGCTTCTGTCTACTTTTTATGAGAAGATATTTCCCTTTTCACCGTAGGCGTCGAGGCGCTCCAAATGTCCACTTCCAGATACTACAAAAAGAGTGTTTCAAACCTACTCTGTGAAAGGGAATATTCAACTCTGTGACTTGAATGCACATATCACAAAGAAGTTTCTGAGAATGCTTCTGTTGAGATTTTATATGAAGATATTCCCGTTTCCAACGAAATCCTGAAATCTATCCAAATACCCCCTCACAGATTGTACAAAAAGAGTGTTTCAAAACTGCTCTGTAAAAAGAAAGGTTCAACTCTGTTAGTTGAGTACACACATCACAAACAAGTTTCACAGAATGCTTCTTTCTAGCTTGTAGGGGAAGATATTCCCTTTATCACCATGGGCCTCAAACCGTCCGAAACGTCCACTTCCATATACTAAAAAAGGAGTGTTTCAAACCTGCTCTATGAAAGGCAATGTTCAACTCTGTGACTTGAATGCAGACATCACAGAGCAGTTACTGAGAATGCTTCTGTCTAGATTTTATAGGAAGATATTCCCGTTTCCAACGAAATCTTCACAGCTATCCAAATATCCAATTGCAGATTCTACAAAAAGAGTGTATCAAAACTGCTCTGTCCAAAGGAAGGTTCTTCTCTGTTAGGTGAGTGCATACGTCATAAAGGAGTTTCTGAGAATGTTTCTGTCTAGTGGTTGTGGGAAGATATTTGCTTTTTCACCTTAGGCCTCAGAGGACTCCAAATATCCACTTGCACGTACTACAAAAAGAGTGCTTCAAAGCTGCTCTCTGAAACGGAATGTTCAACTCTATGAGTTGAATGCAAACATCACAAAGACGTTTCTGAGAATGCTTCTGTCTAGATTTGATATGAAGATATTCCCGTTTCCAATGAAATCTTCAAATCTATCCAAATGTCCACTTGCAGATTCAACAAAGTGTTTTTCAGAACTGCTCTATCAAAAGAAAGATCCACCTCTGTTAGCTGAGATCACACTTCACAAACAAGTTTATCAGAATGCTTCTGTCTAGTTTTTATTTGAAAATATATCCTTTCTCACTATAGACCTTAAAGCTCTCCTAAAGTTCACTTCCAGATACTACAGAAAGAGTGTTTCAAAACTGCTGTACGAAAGGGAATGTTCAACTCTGTGACTTGAATGCACACATCACAAGGAAGTTTCTGAGGATGCTGCTGTCTACTTTTTATACTTAATCCCGTTTCCAACGAAATCCTCCAAGCTATCCAAATATCCACTTGCAGATTCCACAGAAAGACTGTTTCAAAACTGCTCTGTCAATAGAAAGGTTCAACTCTGTTAGCTGCGTGCATATATCCCAAAGCAGATTCTGAGATTGCTTCTGTCTAGTTTTTATGGGAAGATATTTCCCTTTTCACCGTAGGCGTCAAGGCGCTCCAAATGTCCACTTCCAGATACTACAAAAAGAGTGTTTCAAACCTACTCTGTGAAAGGGAATATTCAACTCTGTGACTTGAATGCACATATCACAAGGAAGTTTCTGAGAATGGTTCTGTCGAGATTTTGTATGAAGATATTCCCGTTTCCAACGAAATCCTGAAATCTATCCAAATTTCCCCTCGCAGATTCTACAAAAAGAGTGTTTCAAAACTGCTTTGTAAAAAGAAAGGTTCAACTCTGTTAGTTGAGTACACACATCACAAACAAGTTTCACAGAATGCTTCTTTCTAGCTTGTAGGAGAAGATTTTCCCTTTATCACCATGGGCCTCCAACCGTCCGAAACATCCACTTCCATATACTACAAAAAGAGCGTTTCAAACCTGCTCTATGAAAGGCAATGTTCAACTCTGTGACTTGAATGCAGACATCACAGAGCAGTTTCTGAGAATGCTTCTGTCTACATTTTATAGGAAGATATTCCCGTTTCCAACGAAATCTTCACAGGTATCCAAATATCCACTTGCAGATTCTACAAAAAGAGTGTATCAAAACTGCTCTGTCAAAAGGAAGGTTCTTCTCTGTTAGGTGAGTGCATACGTCATAAAGGAGTTTCTGAGAATGTTTCTGTCTAGTGGTTATGGGAAGATATTTGCTTTTTCACCGTAGGCCTCAGAGCGCTCCAAATATCTACTTGCACATACTACAAAAAGAGTGCCTCAAAGCTGCTCTCTGAAACGGAATGTTCAACTCTATGAGTTGAATGCCAACATCACAAAGACGTTTCTGAGAATGCTTCTGTCTAGATTTGATATGAAGATATTCCCGTTTCCAACGAAATCTTCAAATCTATCCAAATGTCCACTTGCAGATTCAACAAAAAGTGTTTTTCAGAACTGCTCTATCAAAAGAAAGATCCACCTCTGTTAGCTGAGTTCACACCTCACAAACAAGTTTATGAGAATGCTTCTGTCTAGTTTTTATTTGAAGATATTTCCTTTCTCACCATAGAGCTGAAAGCTGTCCTAATGTTCACTTCCAGATACTACAGAAAGAGTGTTTCAAAACTGCTGTATGAAAGGGAATGTTCAACTCTTTGACTTGAATGCACACATCACAAAGAAGTTTCTGAGGATGCTGCTGTCTACTTTTTATACGTAATCCCGTTTCTAACGAAATCCTCCAAGCTATCCAAATATCCACTTGCAGATTCCACAGAAAGACTGTTTCAAAACTGCTCTGTCAATAGAAAGGTTCAACTCTGTTAGCTGCGTGCATATATCCCAAAGAAGATTCTGAGATTGCTTCTGTCTAGTTTTTATGGGAAGATATTTCCCTTTTCACCGTAGGTGTCAAGGCACTCCAAATGTCCACTTCCAGATACTCCAAAAAGAGTGTTTCAAACCTACTCTCTGAAAGGGAATATTCAACTCTGTGACTTGAATGCAGATATCACAATGAAGTTTCTGAGAATGCTTCTGTCGAGATTTTATATGAAGATATTCCCGTTTCCAACGGAATCCTGAAATCTATCCAAATATCCCCTCGCAGATTCTACAAAAAGAGTGTTTCAAAACTGCTCTGTAAAAAGAAAGTTTCAACTCTGTTAGTTGAGTACACACATCACAAACAAGTTTCACAGAATGCTTCTTTCTAGCTTGTAGGGGAAGATATTCCCTTTATCACCATGGGCCTCAAACCGTCCGAAACCTCCAGTTACATATACTACAAAAAGAGCGTTTCAAACCTGCTCTATGAAAGGCAATGTTCAACTCTGTGACTTGAATGCAGACATCACAGAGCTGTTTCTGAGAATGCTTCTGTCTAGATTTTATAGGAAGATATTCCCGTTTCCAACGAAATCTTCACAGCTATCCAAATATCCATTTGCAGATTCTACAAAAAGAGTGTATCAAAACTGCTCTGTCAAAAGGAAGGTTCTTCTCTGTTAGTTGAGTACATACGTCATAAAGGAGTTTCTGAGAATGTTTCTGTCTAGTGGTTATGGGAAGATATTTGCTTTTTCCCCGTAGGCCTCAGGGCGCTCCAAATGTCCACTTGCACATGCTACAAAAAGAGTGCTTCAAAGCTGCTCTCTGAAAGGGAATGTTCAACTCTATGAGTTGAATGCAAACATCACAAAGACGTCTCTGAGAATGCTTCTGTCTAGATTTGATATGAAGATATTCCCGTTTCCAAAGAAATCTTCAAATCTATCCAAATGTCCACTTGCAGATTCATCAAAAAGTGTTTTTCAGAACTGCTCTATCAAAAGAAAGATCCACCTCTGTTAGCTGAGTTCACACATCACAAACAAGTTTATGAGAATGCTTCTGTCTAGTTTTTATTTGAAGATATTTCCTTTCTCACCATAGACCTGAAAGCTGTCCTAAAGTTCACTTCCAGATACTACAGAAAGAGCGTTTCAAAACTGCTGTATGAAAGGGAATGTTCAACCTTGTGACTTGAATGCACACATCACAAAGAAGTTTCTGAGGATGCTGCTGTCTACTTTTTATACGTAATCCCGTTTCCAACGAAATCCTCCAAGCTATCCAAATATCCACTTGCAGATTCCACAGAAAGACTGTTTCAAAACTGCTCTGTCAATAGAAAGGTTCAACTCTGTTAGCTGCGTACATATATCCCAAAGAAGATTCTGAGATTGTTTCTGTCTAGTTTTTATGGGAAGATATTTCCCTTTTCACCGTAGGCAGTCAAGGCGCTCCAAATGTCCACTTCCAGATACTACAAAAAGAGTGTTTCAAACCTACTCTGTGAAAGGGAATATTCAACTCTGTGACTTGAATGCACATATCACAAAGAAGTTTCTGAGAATGCTTCTGTCGAGATTTTGTATGAAGATATTCCCGTTTCCAACGAAATCCTGAAATCTATCCAAATTTCCCCTCGCAGATTCTACAAAAAGAGTGTTTCAAAACTGCTCTGTAAAAAGAAAGGTTCAACACTGTTAGTTGAGTACACACATCACAAACAAGTTTCACAGAATGCTTCTTTCTAGCTTGTAGGGGAAGATATTCCCTTTATCACCATGGTCCTCAAACCGTTCGAAACGTCCTGTTCCATATAGTACAAAAAGAGCCTTTCAAACCTGCTCTATGAAAGGCAATGTTCAACTCTGTGACTTGAATGCAGACATCACAGAGCAGTTTCTGAGAATGCTTCTGTCTAGATTTTATAGGAAGATATTCCCGTTTCCAACGAAATCTTCACAGCTATCCAAATATCCACTTGCAGATTCTACAAAAAGAGTGTATCAAAACTGCTCTTTCAAAAGGAAGGTTCTTCTCTGTTAGTTGAGTACATACGTCATAAAGGAGTTTCTGAGAATGTTTCTGTCTAGTGGTTATGGGAAGATATTTGCTTTTTCATCTTAGGCCTCAGAGCGCTCCAAATATCCACTTGCACATACTACAAAAAGAGTGCTTCAAAGCTGCTCTCTGAAACGGAATGTTCAACTCTATGAGTTGAATGCAAACATGACAAAGACGTTTCCGAGAATGCTTCTGTCTAGATTTGATATGAAGATATTCCCGTTTCCAACGAAATCTTCAAATCTATCCAAATGTCCACTTGCAGATTCAACAAAAAGTGTTTTTCAGAACTGCTCTTTCAAAAGAAAGATTCACCTCTGTTAGCTGAGTTCACACATCACAAACAAGTTTATGAGAATGCTTCTGTCTAGTTTTTATTTGAAGATATTTCCTTTCTCACCATAGACCTGAAAGATGTCCTAATGTTCACTTAGAGATACTACAGAAAGAGTGTTTCAAAACGGCTGTACGAAAGGGAATGTTCAACACTGTGACATGAATGCACACATCACAAAGAAGTTTCTGAGGATGCTGCTGTCTACTTTTTATACGTAATCCCGTTTCCAACGAAATCCTCCAATCTATCCAAATATCCACTTGCAGATTCCACAGAAGGACTGTTTCAAAACTGCTCTGTCAATAGAAAGGTTAAACTCTGTTAGCTGCGTGCATATATCCCAAAGAAGATTCTGAGATTGCTTCTGTCTACTTTTTATGAGAAGATATTTCCCTTTTCACCGTAGGCGTCAATGTGCTCCAAATGTCCACTTCCAGATACTACAAAAAGAGTGTCTCAAACCTACTCTGTGAAAGGGAATATTCAACTCTGTGACTTGAATGCACATATCACAAAGAAGCTTCTGAGAATGCTTCTGTCGAGATTTTATATGAAGATATACCCGTTTCCAATGAAATCCTGAAATCTATCCAAATATCCCCTCGCAGATTCTAGAAAAAGAGTGTTTCAAAACTGCTCTGTGAAAAGAAAGGTTCAACTCTGTTAGTTGAGTACACACATCACAAACAAGTTTCACAGAATGCTTCTTTCTAGCTTGTAGGGGAAGATATTCCCTTTATCACCATGGGCCTCCAACCGTCCGAAACATCCACTTCCATATACTACAAAAAGAGCGTTTCAAACCTGCTCTATGAAAGGCAATGTTGAACTCTGTGTCTTGAATGCAGACATCACAGAGCAGTTTCTGAGAATGCTTCTGTCTAGATTTTATAGGAAGATATTCCCGTTTCCAACGAAATCTTCACAGCTATCCAAATATCCAGTTGCAGATTCTACAAAAAGAGTGTATCAAAACTGCTCTGTCAAAAGGAAGGTTCTTCTCTGTTAGGTGAGTGCATACGTCATAAAGGAGTTTCTGAGAATGTTTCTGTCTAGTGGTTATGGGAAGATATTTGCTTTTTCCCCGTAGGCCTCAGGGCGCTACAAATGTCCACTTGCACATGCTACAAAAAGAGTGCTTCAAAGCTGCTCTCTGAAAGGGAATGTTCAACTCTATGAGTTGAATGCAAACATCACAAAGACGTTTCTGAGAATGCTTCTGTCTAGATTTTATACGAAGATATTCCCGTTTCCAACGAAATCTTCAAATCTATCCAAATATCCACTTTCAGATTCTACAAAAAGTGTTTTTCAAAACTACTATATCAAAAGAAATATCCACCTCTGTTAGCTGAGTTCACACATCACAAACAATTTTATGAGAATGCTTCTGTCTAGTTTTTATTTGAAGATATTTCCTTTCTCACCATAGAGCTGAAAGCTGTCCTAATGTTCACTTCCAGATACTACAGAAAGAGTGTTTCAAAACTGCTGTACGAAAGGGAATGTTCAACTCTGTGACTTGAATGCACACATCACAAAGAAGTTTCTGAGGTGCTGCTGTCTACTTTTTATACGTAATCCCGTTTCCAACGAAATCCTCCAAGCTATCCAAATATCCACTTGCAGATTCCACAGAAAGACTGTTTCAAAACTGCTCTGTCAATAGAAAGGTTCAACTCTGTTAGCTGCGTGCATATATCCCAAAGAATATTCTGAGATTGCTTCTGTCTACTTTTTATGAGAAGATATTTCCGTTTTCACCGTAGGCGTCAAGGCGCTCCAAATGTCCACTTCCAGATACTACAAAAAGAGTGTTTCAAACCTACTCTGTGAAAGGGAATATTCAACTCTGTGACTTGAATGCACATATCACAAAGAAGCTTCTTAGAATGCTTCTGTCGAGATTTTATATGAAGATATTCCCGTTTACAACGAAATCCTGAAATCTATCGAAATATCCCCTCGCAGATTCTACAAAAAGAGTGTTTCAAAACTGCTCTGTAAAAAGAAAGGTTCAACTCTGTTAGTTGAGTACACACATCACAAACAAGTTTCACAGAATGCTTCTTTCTAGCTTGTAGGGGAAGATATTCCCTTTATCACCATGGGCCTCAAACCGTCCGAAACGTCCACTTCCCTATACTACAAAAAGAGGGTTTCAAACCTGCTCTAGGAAAGGCAATGTTCAACTCTGTGACTTGAATGCAGACATCACAGAGCAGTTTCTGAGAATGCTTCTGTCTAGATTTTATAGGAAGATATTCCCGTTTCCAACGAAATCTTCACAGCTATCCAAATATCCACTTGCAGATTCTACAAAAAGAGTGTATCAAAACTTCTCTGTCAAAAGGAAGGTTCTTCTCTGTTAGGTGAGTGCATACGTCATAAAGGAGTTTCTGAGAATGTTTCTGTCTAGTGGTTATGGGAAGATATTTGCTTTTTCCCCGTAGGCCTCAGAGCGCTCAAAATATCTACTTGCACATACTACAAAAAGAGTGCTTCAAAGCTGCTCTCTGAAAGGGAATGTTCATCTCCATGAGTTTAATTGAAACATCACAAAGACGTTTCTGAGAATGCTTCTGTCTAGATTTGATATGAAGATATTCCCGTTTCCAACGAAATCTTCAAATCTATCCAAATGTCCACTTGCAGATTCAACAAAAAGTGTTTTTCAGAACTGCTCTATCAAAAGAAAGATCCACCTCTGTTAGCTGAGTTGACACATCACAAACAAGTTTATGAGAATGCTTCTGTCTAGTTTTTATTTGAAGATATATCCTTTCTCACTATAGACCTGAAAGCTCTCCTAAAGTTCACTTCCAGATACTACAGAAAGAGTGTTTCAAAACTGCTGTACGAAAGGGAATGTTCAACTCTGTGACTTGAATGCACACATCACAAAGAAGTTTCTGAGGATGCTGCTGTCTACTTTTTATACGTAATCCCGTTTCCAACGAAATCCTCCAAGCTATCCAAATATCCACTTGCAGATTCCACAGAAAGACTGTTTCAAAACTGCTCTGGCAATAGAAAGGTTCAACTCTGTTAGCTGCGTGCATATATCCCAAAGAAGATTCTGAGATTGCTTCTGTCTAGTTTTTATGGGAAGATATTTCCCTTTTCACCGTAGGTGTCAAGGCGCTCCAAATGGCCACTTCCAGATACTACAAAAAGAGTGTTTCAAACCTACTCTGTGAAAGGGAATATTCAACTCTGTGACTTGAATGCACATATCACAAAGAAGTTTCTGAGAATGCTTCTGTCGAGATTTTCTATGAAGATATTCCCGTTTCCAACGAAATCCTGAAATCTATCCAAATATCCCCTCGCAGATTCTACAAAAAGAGTGTTTCAAAACTGCTCTGTAAAAAGAAAGGTTCAACTCCGTTAGTTGAGTACACACATCACAAACAAGTTTCACAGAATGCTTCTTTCTATCTTGTAGGGGAAGATATTCCCTTTATCACCATGGGCCTCCAACCGTCCGAAACATCCACTTCCATATACTACAAAAAGAGCGTTTCAAACCGGCTCTATGAAAGGCAATGTTCAACTCTGTGACTTGAATGCAGACATCACAGAGCAGTTTCTGCGAATGCTTCTGTCTAGATATTATAGGAGGATATTCCCGTTTCCAACGAAATCTTCACAGCTATCCAAATATCCACTTGGAGATTCTACAAAAAGAGTGTATCAAAACTGCTCTGTCAAAAGGAAGGTTCTTCTCTGTTAGGTGAGTGCATACGTCATAAAGGAGTTTCTGAGAATGTTTCTGTCTAGTGGTTATGGGAAGATATTTCCTTTTTCACCTTAGGCCTCAGAGCGCTCCAAATATCCCCTTGCACATACTACAAAAAGAGTGCTTCAAAGCTGCTCTCTGAAACGGAATGTTCAACTCTATGAGTTGAATGCAAACATCACAAAGACGTTTCTGAGAATGCTTCTGTCTAGATTTGATATGAAGATATTCCCGTTTCCAACGAAATCTTCAAATCTATCCAAATGTCCACTTGCATAATCAACAAAAAGTGTTTTTCACAACTGCTCTATCAAAAGAAAGATCCACCTCTGTTAGCTGAGTTCACACATCACAAACAAGTATATGAGAATGCTTCTGTCTAGTTTTTATTTGAAGATATTTCCTTTCTCACCATAGAGCTGAAAGCTGTCCTAATGTTCACTTCCAGGTACTACAGAAAGAGTGTTTCAAAACTGCTGTACGAAAGGGAATGTTCAACTCTGTGACTTGAATGCACACATCACAAAGAAGTTTCTGAGGATGCTGCTGTCTACTTTTTATACGTAATCCCGTTTCCAACGAAATCCTCCAAGCTATCCAAATATCCACTTGCAGATTCCACAGAAAGACTGTTTCAAAACTTGCTCTGTCAATAGAAACGTTCAACTCTGTTAGCTGCGTGCATATATCCCAAAGAAGATTCTGAGATTGCTTCTGTCTAGTTTTTATTGGTAGATATTTCCCTTTTCACCGTAGGCGTCAAGGCGCTCCAAATGTCCACTTCCAGATACTACAAAAAGAGTGTTTCAAACCTACTCTGTGAAAGGGAATATTCAACTCTGTGACTTCAATGCACATATCACAAGGAAGTTTCTGAGAATGCTTCTGTCGAGATTTTATATGAAGATATTCCCGTTTCCAACGAAATCCTGAAATCTATCCAAATATCCCCTCGCAGATTCTTCAAAAAGAGTGTTTCAATACTGCTCTGTAAAAAGAAAGGTTCAACTCTGTTAGTTGAGTACACACATCACAAACAAGTTTCACAGAATGCTTCTTTCTAGCTTGTAGGGAAAGATATTCCCTTTATCACCATGGGCCTCAAACCGTCCGAAACGTCCACTTCCATATACTACAAAAAGAGCGTTTCAAACCTGCTCTATGAAAGGCAATGTTCAACTCTGTGACTTCAATGTAGACATCACAGAGCAGTTTCTGAGAATGCTTCTGTCTAGATTTTATAGGAAGATATTCCCGTTTCCAACGAAATCTTCACAGCTATCCAAATATCCACTTGCAGATTCTACAAAAAGAGTGTATCAAAACTGCTCTGTCAAAAGGAAGGTTCTCCTCTGTTAGGTGAGTGCATACGTCGTAAAGGAGTTTCTGAGAATGTTTCTGTCTAGTGGTTATGGGAAGATATTTGCTTTTTCACCGTAGGCCTCAGAGCCCTCCAAATATCCACTTGCACATACTACAAAAAGAGTGCTTCAAACCTGCTCTCTGAAACGGAATGTTCAACTCTATGAGTTGAATGCAAACATCACAAAGACGTTTCTGAGAATGCTTCTGTCTAGATTTGATATGGAAGATATTCCCGTTTCCAACGAAATCTTCAAATCTATCCAACTGTCCTCTTGCAGATTCAACAAAAAGTGTTTTTCAGAACTGCTCTATCAAAAGAAAGATCCACGTGTGTTAGCTGAGTTCACACATCACGAACAAGTTTATGAGAATGCTTCTGTCTAGTTTTTATTTGAAGATATTTCCTTTCTCACCATAGAGCTGAAAGCTGTCCTAATGTTCACTTCCAGATACTACAGAAAGAGTGTTTCAAAACTGCAGTACGAAAGGGAATGTTCAACTCTGTGACTTGAATGCACACATCACAAAGAAGTTTCTGAGGATGCTGCTGTCTACTTTTTATACTTAATCCCGTTTCCAACGAAGTCCTCCAAGCTATCCAAATATCCACTTGCAGATTCCACAGAAAGACTGTTTCAAAACTACTCTGTCAATAGAAAGGTTCAACTCTGTTAGCTGCGTGCATATATCCCAAAGAAGATTCTGAGATTGCTTCTGTCTACTTTTTATGAGAAGATATTTCCCTTTTCACCGTAGGCGTCAAGGCGCTCCAAATGTTCACTTCCAGATACTACAAAAAGAGTGTTTCAAACCTACTGTGTAAAAGGGAATATTCAACTCTGTGACTTGAATGCACATATCACAAAGAAGTTTCTGAGAATGCTTCTGTCGAGATTTTATATGAAGATATTCCCCTTTCCAACGAAATCCTGAAATCTATCCAAATATCCCCTCGCAGATTCTACAAAAAGAGTGTTTCAAAACTGCTCTGTAAAAAGAAAGGTTCAAGTCTGTTAGTTGAGTACACACATCACAAACAAGTTTCACAGAATGCTTCTGTCTAGTTTTTATGTGAGGGTACTACCTTTTTCACCATAGGCCTCGAAGCAGTCCAAGTGTCCACTTCCATCTACTACAAAATGAGTGTTTCAGAACTGCTGTATGAAAGGGAATGTTCAACTCTGTGAGTTAAATGCAAACAACACAAAGAAGTTTCAGAGAATGCTTCTGCCTAGTTTTTATGTGAAGATATTCCCGTTTCCAACAAAATCCTCAAAGCTAGCCAAATATCCACTTGCAGACTCTACAAAAAGAATGTTTGAAAACTGCTCTATCAAAAGAAAAGTTCAACTCTGTTAGTTGAGTAAACACATCACAAACAAGTTTCACAGAATGCTTCTGTCTATTGGTTATGGGAAGATATTTGCTTTTTCACCTTAGGACTCAGAGCGCTCCAAATATCCCCTTGCACATACTACAAAAAGAGTGCTTCAAAGCTGCTCTCTGAAACGGAATGTTCAACTCTATGAGTTGAATGCAAACATCACAAAGACGTTTCTGAGAAAGCTTCTGTCTAGATTTGATATGAAGATATTCCCGTTTCCAAAGAAATCTTCAAATCTATCCAAATGTCCACTTGCAGATTCAACAAAAAGTGTTTTTCAGAACTGCTCTATCAAAAGAAAGATCCACGTCTCTTAGCTGAGTTCACAGATCACAAACAAGTTTATGAGAATGCTTCTGTCTAGTTTTTATTTGAAGATATATCCTTTCTCACTATAGACCTGAAAGCTCTCCTAAAGTTCACTTCCAGATACTACAGAAAGAGTGTTTGAAAACTGCTGTACGAAAGGGAATGTTCAACTCTGTGACTTGAATGCACACATCACAAGGATGTTTCTGAGGATGCTGCTGTCTACTTTTTATACTTAATCCCGTTTCCAACGAAATCCTCCAAGCTATCCAAATATCCACTTGCAGATTCCACAGAAAGACTGTTTCAAAACTGCTCTGCCAATAGAAAGGTTCAACTCTGTTAGCTGCATGCATATATCCCAAAGAAGATTCTGAGATTGCTTCTGTCTAGTTTTTATGGGAAGATATTTCCCTTTTCACCGTAGGCGTCAAGGCGCTCCAAATGTCCACTTCCAGATACTACAAAAAGAGTGTTTCAAACCTACTCAGTGAAAGGGAATATTCAACTCTGTGACTTGAAGGCAGATATCACAAAGAAGTTTCTGAGAATGCTTCTGTCGAGATTTTGTATGAAGATATTCCCGTTTCCAACGAAATCCTGAAATCTATCCAAATATCCCCTCGCAGATTCTACAAAAAGAGTGTTTCAAAACTGCTCTGTGAAAAGAAAGGTTCAACTCTCTTAGTTGAGTACACACATCACAAACAAGTTTCACAGAATGCTTCTTTCTAGCTTGTAGGGGAAGATATTCCCTTTATCACCATGGGCCTCAAACCGTCCGAAACGTCCACTTCCATATACTACAAAAAGAGCGTTTCAAACCTGCTCTAGGAAAGGCAATGTTCAACTCTGTGACTTGAATGCAGACATCACAGAGCAGTTTATGAGAATGCTTCTGTCTAGATTTTATAGGAAGATATTCCCGTTTCCAACGAAATCTTCACAGCTATCCAAATATCCACTTGCAGATTCTACAAAAAGAGTGTATCAAAGCTGCTCTGTCAAAAGGAAGGTTCTTCTCTGTTAGGTGAGTGCATGCGTCATAAAGCAGTTTCTGAGAATGTTTCTGTCTAGTGGTTATGGGAAGATATTTGCTTTTTCACCGTAGGCCTCAGAGCGCTCCAAATATCCACTTGCACATACTACAAAAAGTGTGCCTCAAAGCTGCTCTCTGAAACGGAATGTTCAACTCTATGAGTTGAATGCAAACATCACAAAGACGTTTCTGAGAATGCTTCTGTCTAGATTGATATGAAGATATTCCCGTTTCCAACGAAATCTTCAAATCTATCCAAATGTCCACTTGCAGATTCAACAAAAAGTGTTTTTCAGAACTGCTCTATCAAAAGAAAGATCCACCTCTGTTAGCTGAGTTCACACATCACAAACAAGTTTATGAGAATGCTTCTGTCTAGTTTTTATTTGAAGATATTTCCTTTCTCACCATAGAGCTGAAAGCTGTCCTAATGTTCACTTCTAGATACTACAGAAAGAGTGTTTCAAAACTGCTGTACGAAAGGGAATGTTCAACTCTGTGACTTGAATGCACACATCACAAAGAAGTTTCTGAGGATGCTGCTGTCTACTTTTTATACGTAATCCCGTTTCCAACGAAATCCTCCAAGCTATCCAAATATCCACTTGCAGATTCCACAGAAAGACTGTTTCAAAACTGCTCTGTCAATAGAAAGGTTCAACTCTGCTAGCTGCGTGCATATATCCCAAAGAAGATTCTGAGATTGCTTCTGTCTAGTTTTTATGGGAAGATATTTCCCTTTTCACCGTAGGCGTCAAGGCGCTCCAAATGTCCACTTCCAGATACTACAAACAGAGTGTTTCAAACCTACTCTGTGAAAGGGAATATTCAACTCTGTGACTTGAATGCACATATCACAAAGAAGTTTCTGAGAATGCTTCTGTCGAGATTTTATATGAAGATATTCCCGTTCCCAACGAAATCCTGAAATCTATCCAAATATCCCCTCGCAGATTCTACAAAAAGAGTGTTTCAAAACTGCTCTGTAAAAAGAAAGGTTCAACACTGTTAGTTGAGTACACACATCACAAACAAGTTTCACAGAATGCTTCTTTCTAGCTTGTAGGGGAAGATATTCCCTTTATCACCATGGGCCTCAAGCCGTCCGAAACGTCTACTTCCATATACTACAAAAAGAGCGTTTCAAACCTGCTCTATGAAAGGCAATGTTCAACTCTGTGACTTGAATGCAGACATCACAGAGCAGTTTCTGAGAATGCTTCTGTCTAGATTTTATAGGAAGATATTCCAGTTTCCAACGAAATCTTCACAGCTATCCAAATATGCACTTGCAGATTCTACAAAAAGAGTGTATCAAAACTGCTCTGTCAAAAGGAAGGTTCTTCTCTGTTAGTTGAGTACATACGTCATAAAGGAGTTTCTGAGAATGTTTCTGTCTAGTGGTTATGGGAAGATATTTGCTTTTTCACCGTAGGCCTCAGAGCACTCCAAATATCCACTTGCAGATACTACAAAAAGAGTGCTTCAAAGCTGCTCTCTGAAACGGAATGTTCAACTCTATGAGTTGAATGCAAACATCACAAAGACGTTTCTGAGAATGCTTCTCTCTAGATTTGATATGAAGATATTCAAGTTTCCAACGAAATCTTCAAATCTATCCAAATGTCCACTTGCAGATTCAACCAAAAGTGTTTTTCAGAACTGCTCTATCAAAAGAAAGATCCACCTCTGTTAGCTGAGTTCACACATCACAAACAAGTTTATGAGAATGCTTCTGTCTAGTTTTTATTTGAAGATATTTCCTTTCTCACCATAGACCTGAAAGCTGTCCTAATGTTCACTTCCAGATACTACAGAAAGAGTGTTTCAAAACTGCTGTACGAAAAGGAATGTTCAACTCTGTGACTTGAATGCACACATCACAAAGAAGTTTCTGAGGATGCTGCCGTCTACTTTTTATACGTAATCCCGTTTCCAACGAAATCCTCCAAGCTATCCAAATATCCACTTGCAGATTCTACAAAAAGAGTGTTTCAAAACTGCTCTGTAAAAAGAAAGGTTCAACTCTGTTAGCTATGTGCATATATCCCAAAGAAAATTCTGAGATTGCTTCTGTCTAGTTTTTATGGGAAGATATTTCCCTTTTCACTGTAGGCGTCAAGGCGCTCCAAATGTCCACTTCCAGATACTACAAAAAGAGTGTTTCAAACCTACTCTGTGAAAGGGAATATTCAACTCTGTGACTTGAATGCAGGATATCACAAAGAAGTTTCTGAGAATGCTTCTGTCGAGATTTTATATGAATTTATTCCCGTTTCCAACGAAATGCTGAAATGTATCCAAATATCCCCTCGCAGATTCTACAAAAAGAGTGTTTCAAAACTGCTCTGTAAAAAGAAAGGTTCAACTCTGTTAGTTGAGTACACACATCACAAACAAGTTTCACAGAATGCTTCTTTCTAGCTTGTAGGGGAAGATATTCCCTTTATCACCATGGGCCTCAAACCGTCCGAAACGTCCACTTTTATATACTACAAAAAGAGCGTTTCAAACCTGCTCTATGAAAGTCAATGTTCAACTCTGTGACTTGAATGCAGACATCACAGAGCAGTTTCTGAGAATGCTTCTGTCTAGATTTTATAGGAAGATATTCCCGTTTCCAACGAAATCTTCACAGCTATCCAAATATCCACTTGCAGATTCTACAAAAAGTGTGTATCAAAACTGCTCTGTCAAAAGGAAGGTTCTTCTCTGTTAGGTGAGTGCATACGTCATAAAGGAGTTTCTGAGAATGTTTCTGTCTAGTGGTTATGGGAAGATATTTGCTTTTTCACCGTAGGCCTCAGAGCGCTCCAAATATCCACTTGCACATACTACAAAAAGAGTGCTTCAAAGCTGCTCTCTGAAACGGAATGTTTAACTCTATGAGTTGAATGCAAACATCGCAAAGACGTTTCTGAGAATGCTTCTGTCTAGATTTGATATGAAGATATTCCCGTTTCCAACGAAATCTTCAAATCTATCCAAATGTCCACTTGCAGATTCAACAAAAAGTGTTTTTCAGAACTGCTCTATCAAAAGAAAGATCCACCTCTGTTAGCTGACTTCACACATCACAAACAAGTTTATGAGAATGCTTCTGTCTAGTTTTTATTTGAAGATATTTCCTTTCTCACCAAAGACCTGAAAGCTGTCCTAATGTTCACTTCCAGATACTACAGAAAGAGTGTTTCAAAACTGCTGTACGAAAGGGAATGTTCAACTCTGTGACTTGAATGCACACATCACAAAGAATTTTCTGAGGATGCTGCTGTCTACTTTTTATGCGTAATCCCGTTTCCAACGAAATCCTCCAAGCTATCCAAATATCCACTTGCAGATTCCACAGAAAGACTGTTTCAAAACTGCTCTGTCAATAGAAAGGTTCAACTCTGTTAGCTGCGTGCATATATCCCAAAGAAGATTCTGAGATGGCTTCCGTCTAGTTTTTATGGGAAGATATTTCCCTTTTCACCGTAGGCGTCAAGGCGCTCCAAATGTCCACTTCCAGATACCACAAAAAGAGTGTTTCAAACCTACTCTGTGGAAGGGAATATTCAACTCTGTGACTTGAATGCAGATATCACAAAGAAGTTTCTGAGAATGCTTCTGTCCAGATTTTATATAAAGATATTCCGGTTTCCAACAAAATCCTGAAATCTATCCAAATATCCCCTCGCAGATTCTACAAAAAGAGTGTTTCAAAACTGCTCTGTAAAAAGAAAGGTTCAACTCTGTTAGTTGAGTACACACATCACAAACAAGTTTCACAGAATGCTTCTTTCTAGCTTGTAGGGGAAGATATTCCCTTTATCACCATGGGCCTCAAACCGTCCGAAACGTCTACTTCCATATACTACAAAAAGACCGTTTCAAACCTGCTCTATGAAAAGCAATGTTCAACTCTGTGACTTGAATGCAGACATCACAGAGCAGTTTCTGAGAATGCTTCTGTCTAGATTTTATAGGAAGATATTCCCGTTTCCAACGAAATCTTCACAGCTATCCCAATATCCACTTGCAGATTCTACAAAAAGAGTGTATCAAAACTGCTCTGTCAAAAGGAAGGTTCTTCTCTGTTGGGTGAGTGCATACGTCAGAAAGGAGTTTCTGAGAATGTTTCTGTCTAGTGGTTATGGGAAGATATTTGCTTTTTCACCGTAGGCCTCAGAGCGCTCCAAATATCCACTTGCACATACTACAAAGAGTGCCTCAAAGCTGCTCTCTGAAACGGAATGTTCAACTCTATGAGTTGAATGCAAACATCGCAAAGACGTTTCTGAGAATGCTTCTGTCTAGATTTGATATGAAGATATTCCCGTTTCCAACGAAATCTTCAAATCTATCCAAATGTCCACTTGCAGATTCAACAAAAAGTGTTTTTCAGAACTGCTCTATCAAAAGAAAGATCCACCTCTGTTAGCTGAGTTCACACATCACAAACAAGTTTATGAGAATGTTTCTGTCTAGTTTTTATTTGAAGATATTTCCTTTCTCACCATAGAGCTGAAAGCTGTCCTAATGGTTCACTTCCAGATACTACAGAAAGAGTGTTTCAAAACTGCTGTACGAAAGGGAATGTTCAACTCTGTGACTTGAATGCACACATCACAAAGAAGTTTCTGAGGATGCTGCTGTCTACTTTTTATACAGTAATCCCGTTTCCAACGAAATCCTCCAAGCTATCCAAATATCCCCTTGCAGATTCCACAGAAAGACTGTTTCAAAACTGCTCTGTCAATAGAAAGGTTCAACTCTATTAGCTGCGTACATATATCCCAAAGAAGATTCTGAGATTGCTTCTGTCTAGTTTTTATGGGAAGATATTTCCCTTTTCACTTTAGGTGTCAAGGCGCTCCAAATGTCCACTTCCAGATACTACAAAAAGAGTGTTTCAAACCTACTCTGTGAAAGGGAATATTCAACTCTGTGACTTGAATGCAGATAGCACAAAGAAGTTTCTGAGAATGCTTCTGTCGAGATTTTATATGAAGATATTCCCGTTTCCAACGAAATCCTGAAGTCTATCCAAATATCCCCTCGCAGATTCTACAAAAAGAGTGTTTCAAAACTGCTCTGTAAAAAGAAAGGTTCAACTCTGTTAGTTGAGTACACACATCACAAACAAGTTTCACAGAATGCTTCTTTCTAGCTTGTAGGGGAAGATATTCCCTTTATCACCATTGGCCTCAAACCGTCCGAAACGTCCACTTCCATATACTACAAAAAGAGCGTTTCAAACCTGCTCTATGAAAGGCAATGTTCAACTCTGTGACTTGAATGCAGACATCACAGAGCAGTTTCTGAGAATGCTTCTGTCTAGATTTTATAGGAAGATATTCCCGTTTCCAACGAAATCTTCACAGCTATCCAAATATCCACTTGCAGATTCTACAAAAAGAGTGTATCAAAACTGCTCTGTCAAAAGGAAGGTTCTCCTCTGTTAGGTGAGTGCATACGTCATAAAGGAGTTTCTGAGAATGTTTCTGTCTAGTGGTTATGGGAAGATATTTGCTTTTTCACCGTAGGCCTCAGAGCGCTCCAAATATCCACTTGCACATACTACAAAAAGAGTGCCTCAAAGCTGCTCTCTGAATCGGAATGTTCAACTCTATGAGTTGAATGCAAACATCACAACGACGGTTTCTGAGAATGCTTCTGTCTAGATTTGATATGAAGATATTCCCGTTTCCAACGAAATCTTCTAATCTATCCAAATGTGCACTTGCAGATTCAACAAAAAGTGTTTTTCAGAACTGCTCTATCAAAAGAAAGATCCACCTCTGTTAGCTGAGTTCACACATCACAAACAAGTTTATGAGAATGCTTCTGTCTAGTTTTTATTTGAAGATATTTCCTTTCTCACCATAGACCTGAAAGCTGTCCTAATGTCCACTTCCAGATACTACAGAAAGAGTGTTTCAAAACTGCTGTACGAAAGGGAATGTTCAACTCTGTGACTTGAATGCACACATCACAAAGAAGTTTCTGAGGATGCTGCTGTCTACTTTTTATACGTAATGACGTTTCCAACGAAATCCTCCAAGCTAACCAAATATCCACTTGCAGATTCCACAGAAAGACTGTTTCAAAACTGCTCTGTCAATAGAAAGGTTCAACTCTGTTAGCTGCGTGCATATATCCCAAAGAAGATTCTGAGATTGCTTCTGTCTAGTTTTAATGGGAAGATATTTCCCTTTTCACCGTAGGTGTCAAGGCGCTCCAAATGTCCACTTCCAGATACTACAAAAAGAGTGTTTCAAACCTACTCTCTGAAAGGGAATATTCAACTCTGTGACTTGAATGCAGATATCACAATGAAGTTTCTGAGAATGCTTCTGTCGAGATTTTATATGAAGATATTCCCGTTTCCAACGAAATCCTGAAATGTATCCAAATATCCCCTCGCAGATTCTACAAAAAGAGTGTTTCAAAACTGCTCTGTAAAAAGAAAGGTTCAACTCTGTTAGTTGAGTGCAAACATCACAAACAAGTTTCACAGAATGCTTCTTTCTAGCTTGTAGGGGAAGATATTCCCTTTATCACCATGGGCCTCAAACCGTCCGATAAGTCCACTTCCATATCCTACAAAAAGAGCGTTTCAAACCTGCTCTATGAAAGGCAATGTTCAACTCTGTGACTTGAATGCAGACATCACAGAGCAGTTTCTGACAATGCTTCTGTCTAGATTTTATAGGAAGATATGCCCGTTTCCAACGAAATCTTCACAGCTATCCAAATATCCACTTGCAGATTCTACAAAAAGAGTGTATCAAAACTGCTCTGTCAAAAGGAAGGTTCTTCTCTGTTAGGTGAGTGCATACGTCATAAAGGAGTTTCTGAGAATGTTTCTGTCTAGTTGTTATGGGAAGATATTTGCTTTTTCCCTGTAGGCCTCAAAGCGCTCCAAATGTCCACTTGAACATACTACAAAAAGAGTGCTTCAAAGCTGCTCTCTGAAAGGGAATGTTCAACTCTATGAGTTCAATGCAAACATCACAAAGACGTTTCTGAGAATGCTTCTGTCTAGATTTGTTATGAAGATATACCCGTTTCCAACGAAATCTTCAAATCTATCCAAATGTCCACTTGCAGATTCAACAAAGTGTTTTTCAAAACTGCTGTATCAAAAGAAAGATCCACCTGTGTTAGCTGAGTTCACACTTCACAAACAAGTTTATGAGAATGCTTCTGTCTAGTTTTTATTTGAAGATATTTCCTTTCTCACCATAGACCTGAAAGCTGTCCTAATGTTCACTTCCAGATACTACAGAAAGAGTGTTTCAAAACTGCTGTACGAAAGGGAATGTTCAACTCTGTGACTTCAGTGCACACATCACAAAGAAGTTTCTGAGGATGCTGCTGTCTACTTTTTATACGTAATCCCGTTTCCAACGAAATCCTCCAAGTTATCCAAATATCCACTTGCAGATTCCACAGAAAGACTGTTTCAAAACTGCTCTGTCAATAGAAAGGTTCAACTCTGTTAGCTGCGTGCATATATCCCAAAGAAGATTCTGAGATTGCTTCTGTCTAGTTTTTATGGGAAGATATTTCCCTTTTCACCGTAGGCGTCAAGGCGCTCCAAATGTCCACTTCCAGATACTACAAAAAGAGTCTTTCAAACCTACTCTGTGGAAGGGAATATTCAACTCTGTGACTTGAATGCAGATATCACAAAGAAGTTTCTGAGAATGCTTCTGTCGAGATTTTGTATGAAGATATTCCCGTTTCCAACGAAATCCTGAAATCTATCCAAATATCCCCTCGCAGATTCTACAAAAAGAGTGTTTCAAAACTGCTCTGTGAAAAGAAAGGTTCAACTCTGTTAGTTGAGTACACACATCACAAACAAGTTTCACAGAATGCTTCTTTCTAGCTTGTAGGGGAAGATATTCCCTTTATCACCATGGGCCTCCAACCGACCGAAACATCCACTTCCATATACTACAAAAAGAGCGTTTCAAACCTGCTCTATGAAAGGCAATGTTCAACTCTGTGACTTGAATGCAGACATCACAGAGCAGTTTCTGAGAATGCTTCTGTCTAGATTTTATAGGAAGATATTCCCGTTTCCAACGAAATCTTCACAGCTATCCAAATATCCACTTGCAGATTCTACAAAAAGAGTGTATCAAATCTGCTCTGTCAAAAGGAAGGTTCTTCTCTGTTAGGTGAGTGCATACGTCATAAAGGAGTTTCTGAGAATGTTTCTGTCTAGTGGTTATGGGAAGATATTTGCTTTTTCCCCGTAGGCCTCAGAGCGCTCCAAATATCCACTTGCACATACTACAAAAAGAGTGCTTCAAAGCTGTTCTCTGAAACGGAATGTTCAACTCTATGAGTTGAATGCAAACATCACAAAGACGTTTCTGAGAATGCTTCTGTCTAGATTTGATATGAAGATATTCCCGTTTCCAACGAAATCTTCAAATCTATCCAAATGTCCACTTGCAGATTCAACAAAAAGTGTTTTTCAGAACTGCTCTATCAAAAGAAAGATCCACCTCTGTTAGCTGAGATCACACTTCACAAACAAGTTTATCAGAATGCTTCTGTCTAGTTTTTATTTGAAGATATTTCCTTTCTGACCATAGCCCTGAAAGCTGTCCTAATGTTCACTTCCAGATACTACAGAAAGAGTGTTTCAAAACTGCTGTACGAAAGGGAATGTTCAACTCTGTGACTTGAATGCACACATCACAAAGAAGTTTCTGAGGATGCTGCTGTCTACTTTTTATACGTAATCCCGTTTCCAACGAAATCCTCCAATCTATCCAAATATCCACTTGCAGATTCCACAGAAAGACTGTTTCAAAACTGCTCTGTCAATAGAAAGGTTCAACTCTGTTAGCTGCGTGCATATATCCCAAAGAAGATTCTGAGATTGCTTCTGTCTAGTTTTTATGAGAAGATATTTCCCTTTTCACCGTAGGCGTCAAAGCGCTCCAAATGTCCACTTCCAGATACTACAAAAAGAGTGTTTCAAACCTACTCTGTAAAAGGGAATATTCAACTCCTGTGACTTGAATGCACATATCACAATGAAGTTTCTGAGAATGCTTCTGTCGAGATTTTGTATGAAGATATTCCCGTTTCCAACGAAATCCTGAAATCTATCCAAATTTCCCCTCGCAGATTCTACAAAAAGAGTGTTTCAAAACTGCTCTGTGAAAAGAAAGGTTCAACTCTGTTAGTTGAGTACACACATCACAAACGAGTTTCACAGAATGCTTCTTTCTAGCTGGTAGGGGACGATATTCCCTTTATCACCATGGGCCTCAAACCGTCCGAAACGTCCACTTCCATATACTACAAAAAGAGCGTTTCAAACCTGCTCTATGAAAGGCAATGTTCAACTCTGTGACTTGAATGCAGACATCACAGAGCAGTTTCTGAGAATGCTTTTGTCCAGACTTTATAGGAAGATATTCCCGTTTCCAACGAAATCTTCACAGCTATCCAAATATCCACTTGCAGATACTACAAAAAGTGTGTATCCAAAGTGCTCTGTCAAAAGGAAAGTTCTTCTCTGCTACTTGAGTACATACGTCATAAAGAAGTTTCTGAGAATGTTTCTGTCTAGTGGTTATGGGAAGATATTTGCTTTTTCACCGTAGGCCTCAGAGCGCTCCAAATATCCACTTGCACATACTACAAAAAGAGTCTTTCAAAGCTGCTCTCTGAAAGGGAATGTTCAACTCTATGAGTTGAATGCAAACATGACAAAGACGTTTCTGAGAATGCTTCTGTCTAGATTTGATATGAACATATTCCCGTTTCCAACGAAATCTTCAAATCTATCCAAATGTCCACTTGCAGATTCAACAAAAAGTGTTTTTCAAAACTGCTGTATCAAAAGAAAGATCCACGTCTGTTAGCTGAGTTCACACATCACAAACAAGTTTATGAGAATGCTTCTGTCTAGTTTTTATTTGAAGATATTTCCTTTCTCACCATAGACCTGAAAGCTGTCCTAATGTTCACTTCCAGTTACTACAGAAAGAGTGTTTCAAAACTGCTGTACGAAAGGGAATGTTCAACTCGGTGACTTGAATGCACACATCACAAAGAAGTTTCTGAGGATGCTGCTGTCTACTTTTTATACTTAATCCCGTTTCCAACGAAATCCTCCAAGCTATCCAAATATCCACTTGCAGATTCCACAGAAAGACTGTTTCAATACTGCTCTGTCAATAGAAAGGTTCAACTCTGTTAGCTGCGTGCATATATCCCAAAGAAGATTCTGAGATTGCTTCTGTCTAGTTTTTATGGGAAGATATTTCCCTTTTCAACGTAGGCGTCAAGGCGCTCCAAATGTCCTCTTCCAGATACTACAAAAAGAGTGTTTCAAACCTACTCTGTGAAAGGGAATATTCAACTCTGTGACTTGAATGCACATATCACAAAGAAGTTTCTGAGAATGCTTCTGTCGCGATTTTATATGAAGATATTCCCGTTTCCAACGAAATCCTGAAATCTATCCAAATATCCGCTCGCAGATTCTACAAAAAGAGTGTTTCAAAACTGCTCTGTGAAAAGAAAGGTTCAACTCTGTTAGTTGAGTACACACATCACAAACAAGTTTCACAGAATGCTTCTTTCTAGCTTGTAGGGGAAGATATTTCCTTTATCACCATGGGCCTCAAACCGTCCGAAACGTGCACTTCCATATACTACAAAAAGAGCGTTTCAAACCTGCTCTATGAAAGGCAATGTTCAACTCTGTGACTTGAATGCAGACATCACAGAGCAGTTTCTGAGAATGCTTCTGCCTAGACTTTATAGGAAGACATTCCCGTTTCCAACGAAATCTTTACAGCTATCCAAATATCCACTTGCAGATACTACAAAAAGAGTGTATCAAAAATGCTCTGTCAAATTGAATGTTCTTCTCTGCTAGTTGAGTACATACGTCATAAAGAAGTTTCTGAGAATGTTTCTGTCTAGTGGTTATGGGAAGATATTTGCTTTTTCACCTTAGGCCTCAGAGCGCTCCATATATCCCCTTGCACATACTACAAAAAGAGTGCTTCAAAGCTGCTCTCTGAAAGGGAATGTTCAACTCTATGAGTTGAATGCAAACATGACAAAAGACGTTTCTGAGAATGCTTCTGTCTAGATTTGATATGAAGATATTCCCGTTTCCAACGAAATCTTCAAATCTATCCAAATGTCCTCTTGCAGATTCAACAAAAAGTGTTTTTCAGAACTGCTCTATCAAAAGAAACATCCACGTGTGTTAGCTGAGTTCACACATCACGAACAAGTTTATGAGAATGCTTCTGTCTAGTTTTTATTTGAAGATATTTCCTTTCTCACCATAGAGCTGAAAGCTGTCCTAATGTTCACTTCCAGATACTACAGAAAGAGTGTTTCAAAACTGCTGTACGAAAGGGAATGTTCAACTCTGTGACTTTAATGCACACATCACAAAGAAGTTTCTGAGGATGCTGCTGTCTACTTTTTATACGTAATCCCGTTTCCAACGAAATCCTCCAAGCTATCCAAATATCCACTTGCAGATTCCACAGAAAGACTGTTTCAAAACTGCTCTGTCAATAGAAAGGTTCAACTCTTTTAGCTGCGTGCATATATCCCAAAGAAGATTACTGAGATTGCTTCTGTCTAGTTTTCATGGGAAGATATTTCCCTTTTCACCGTAGGCGTCAAGGCGCTCCAAATGTCCACTTCCAGATACTACAAAAAGAGTGTTTCAAACCTACTCTGTGAAAGGGAATATTCAACTCTGTGACTTGAAGGCAGATATCACAAAGAAGTTTCTGAGAATGCTTCTGTCGAGATTTTATATGAAGATATTCCCGTTTCCAACGAAATCCTGAAATCTATCCAAATATCCCCTCGCAGATTCTACAAAAGAGTGTTTCAAAACTGCTCTGTAAAAAGAAAGGTTCAACTCTGTTAGTTGAGTACACACTTCACAAACAAGTTTCACAGAATGCTTCTTTCTAGCTTGTAGGGGAAGATATTCCCTTTATCACCATGGGCCTCAAACCGTCCGAAACGTCTACTTCCATATACTACAAAAAGAGAGTTTCAAACCTGCTCTATGAAAGGCAATGTTCAACTCTGTGACTTGAATGCAGACATCACAGAGCAGTTTCTGAGAATGCTTCTGTCTAGATTTTATAGGAAGATATTCCCGTTTCCAACGAAATCTTCACAGCTATCCAAATATCCACTTGCAGATTCTGCAAAAAGAGTGTATCAAAACTGCTCAGTCAAAAGGAAGGTTCTTCTCTGTTAGGTGAGTGCATACGTCATAACGGAGTTTCTGAGAATGTTTCTGTCTAGTGGTTATGGGAAGATATTTGCTTTTTCACCTTAGGCCTCAGAGCGCTCCATATATCCCCTTGCACATACTACAAAAAGAGTGCTTCAAAGCTGCTCTCTGAAACGGAATGTTGAACTCTATGAGTTGAATGCAAACATCACAAAGACGTTTCTGAGAATGCTTCTGTCTAGATTTGATATGAAGATATTCCCGTTTCCAACGAAATCTTCATATCTATCCAAATGTCCACTTGCAGATTCAACAAAAAGTGTTTTTCAAAACTGCTGTATCAAAAGAAAGATCCACGTGTGTTAGCTGAGTTCACACATCACAAACAAGTTTATGAGAATGCTTCTGTCTAGTTTTTATTTGAAGATATTTACTTTCTCATCATAGACCTGAAAGCTGTCCTATTGTTCACTTCAGATACTACAGAAAGAGTGTTTCAAAACTGCTGTACGAAAGGGAATGTTCAACTCTGTGACTTGAATGCACACATCACAAAGAAGTTTCTGAGGATGCTGCTGTCTACTTTTTATACGTAATCCCGTTTCCAACGAAATCCTCTAAGCTATCCAAATATCCACTTGCAGATTCCACAGAAAGACTGTTTCAAAACTGCTCTGTCAATAGAAAGGTTCAACTCTGTTAGCTGCGTGCATATATCCCAAAGAAGATTCTGAGATTGCTTCTGTCTAGTTTTTATGGGAAGATATTTCCCTTTTCACCGTAGGTGTCAAGGCGCTCCAAATGTCCACTTCCAGATACTACAAAAGAGTGTTTCAAACCTACTCTGTGAAAGGGAATATTCAACTCTGTGACTTGAATGCACATATCACAAAGAAGTTTCTGAGAATGCTTCTGTCGAGATTTATATGAAGATATTCCCGTTTCCAACGAAATCCTGAAATCTATCCAAATATCCCCTCGCAGATTCTACAAAAAGAGTGTTTCAAAACTGCTCTGTAAAAAGAAAGGTTCAACTCTGTTAGTTGAGTACACACATCACAAACAAGTTTCACAGAATGCTTCTTTCTAGCTTGTACGGGAAGATATTCCCTTTATCACCATGGGCCTCCAACCGTCCGAAACTTCCACTTCCATATACTACAAAAAGAGCGTTTCAAACCTGCTCTATGAAAGGCAATGTTCAACTCTGTGACTTGAATGCAGACATCACAGAGCAGTTTCTGAGAATGCTTCTGTCTAGATTTTTTAGGAAGATATTCCCGTTTCCAACGAAATCTTCACAGCTATCCAAATATCCACTTGCAGATTCTACAAAAAGAGTGTATCAAAACTGCTCTGTCAAAAGGAAGGTTCTTCTCTGTTAGGTGAGTGCATACGTCATAAAGGAGTTTCTGAGAATGTTTCTGTCTAGTGGTTATGGGAAGATATTTGCTTTTTCACCGTAGGCCTCAGAGCGCTCCAAATATCCACTTGCACATACGACAAAAAGAGTGCTTCAAAGCTGCTCTCTGAAACGGAATGTTCAACTCTATGAGTTGAATGCAAACATGACAAAGACGTTTCCGCGAATGCTTCTGTCTAGATTTGATATGAAGATATTCCCGTTTCCAACGAAATGTTCAAATCTATCCAAATGTCCACTTGCAGATTCAACAAAAAGTGTTTTTCAGAACTGCTCTATCAAAAGAAAGATGCACCTCTGTTAGCTGAGTTCACACATCACAAACAAGTTTATGAGAATGCTTCTGTCTAGTTTTTATTTGAAGATATTTCCTTTCTCACCATAGAGCTGAAAGCTGTCCTAATGTTCACTTCCAGATACTACAGAAAGAGTGTTTCAAAACTGCTGTAAGAAAGGGAATGTTCAACTCTGTGACTTGAATGCACACATCACAAAGAAGTTTCTGAGGATGCTGCTGTCTACTTTTTATGCGTAATCCCGTTTCCAACGAAATCCTCCAAGCTATCCAAATATCCACTTGCAGATTCCACAGAAAGACTGTTTCAAAACTGCTCTGTCAATAGAAAGGTTTAACTCTGTTAGCTGCGTGCATATATCCCAAAGAAGATTCTGAGATTGCTTCTGTCTAGTTTTTATGGGAAGATATTTCCCTTTTCACCGTAGGCGTCAAGGCGCTCCAAATGTCTACTTCCAGATACTACAAAAAGAGTGTTTCAAACCTACTCTGTGAAAGGGAATATTCAACTCTGTGACTTGAATGCACATATCACAAGGAAGTTTCTGAGAATGCTTCTGTCGAGATTTTATATGAAGATATTCCCGTTTCCAACGAAATGCTGAAATCTATCCAAATATCCCCTCGCAGATTCTACAAAAAGAGTGTTTCAAAACTGCTCTGTGGAAAGAAAGGTTCAACTCTGTTAGTTGAGTACACACATCACAAACAAGTTTCACAGAATGCTTCTTTCTAGCTTGTAGGGGAAGATATTCCCTTTATCACCATGGGCCTCAAACCGTCCGAAACGTCCACTTCCATATAATACAAAAAGAGCGTTTCAAACCTGCTCTAGGAAAGGCAGTGTTCAACTCTGTGACTTGAATGCAGACATCACAGAGCAGTTTCTGAGAATGCTTCTGTCTAGATTTTATAGGAAGATATTCCCGTTTCCAACCAAATCTTCACAGCTATCCAAATATCCACTTGCAGATTCTACAAAAAGAGTGTATCAAAACTGCTCTGTCAAAAGGAAGGTTCTTCTCTGTTAGGTGAGTGCATACGTCATAAAGGAGTTTCTGAGAATGTTTCTGTCTAGTGGTTATGGGAAGATATTTGCTTTTTCACCGTAGGCCTCAGAGCGCTCCAAATATCCACTTGCACATACTACAAAAAGAGTGCCTCAAAGCTCCTCTCTGAAACGGAATGTTCAACTCTATGAGTTGAATGCAAACATCGCAAAGACGTTTCTGAGAATGCTTCTGTCTAGATTTGATATGAAGATATTCCCGTTTCCAAAGAAATCTTCAAATCTATCCAAATGTCCACTTGCAGATTCAACAAAAAGTGTTTTTCAGAACTGCTCTATCAAAAGAAAGATCCAGCTCTGTTAGCTGAGTTCACACATCACAAACAAGTTTATGAGAATGCTTCTGTCTAGTTTTTATTTGAAGATATTTCCTTTCTCACCATAGATCTGAAAGCTGTCTTAGTGTTCACTTCCAGATACTACAGAAAGAGTGTTTCAAAACTGCTGTACGAAAGGGAATGTTCAACTCTGTGACTTGAATGCACACATCACAAAGAAGTTTCTGAGGATGCTGCTGTCTACTTTTTAAACGTAATCCCTTTTCCAACGAAATCCTCCAAGCTATCCAAATATCCACTTGCAGATTCCACAGAAAGACTGTTTCAAAACTGCTCTGTCAATAGAAAGGTTCAACTCTGTTAGCTGCGTGCATATATCCCAAAGAAGATTCTGAGATTGCTTCTGTCTAGTTTTTATGGGAAGATATTTCCCTTTTCACCGTAGGTGTCAAGGCGCTCCAAATGTCCACTTCCAGATACTACAAAAAGAGTGTTTCAAACCTACTCTGTGAAAGGGAATATTCAACTCTGTGACTTGAAGGCAGATATCACAAAGAAGTTTCTGAGAATGCTTCTGTCGAGATTTTATATGAAGATATTCCCGTTTCCAAAGAAATCCTGAAATCTATCCAAATATCCCCTCGCAGATTCTACAAAAAGAGTGTTTCAAAACTGCTCTGTAAAAAGAAAGGTTCAACTCTGTTAGTTGAGTACACACCTCACAAACAAGTTTCACAGAATGCTTCCTTCTAGCTTGTAGGGGAAGATATTCCCTTTATCACCATGGGCCTCAAACCGTCCGAAACGTCCACTTCCATATACTACAAAAAGAGCGTTTCAAACCTGCTCCATGAAAGGCAATGTTCAACTCTGTGACTTGAATGCAGACATCACAGAGCAGTTTCTGAGAATGCTTCTGTCTAGATTTTATAGGAAGATATTCCCGTTTCCAACGAAATCTTCACAGCTATCCAAATATCCACTTGCAGATTCTACAAAAAGAGTGTATCAAAACTGCTCTGTCAAAAGGAAGGTTCTTTTCTGTTACGTGAGTGCATACGTCATAAAGGAGTTTCTGAGAATGTTTCTGTCTAGTGGTTATGGGAAGATATTTGCTTTTTCACCGTAGGCCTCAGAGCGCTCCAAATATCCCCTTGCACATACTACAAAAAGAGTGCTTCAAAGCTGCTCTCTGAAAGGGAATGTTCAACTCTATGAGTTGAATGCAAACATCACAAAGACGTTTCCGCGAATGCTTCTGTCTAGATTTGATATGAAGATATTCCCGTTTCCAACGAAATCTTCAAATCTATCCAAATGTCCACTTGCAGATTCAACAAAAAGTGTTTTTCAGAACTGCTCTATCAAAAGAAAGATCCACCTCTGTTAGCTGAGTTCAGACATCACAAACAAGTTTATGAGAAAGCTTCTGTCTAGTTTTTATTTGAAGATATTTCCTTTCTCACCATAGACCTGAAAGCTATCCTAATGTTCACTTCCAGATACTACCGAATGAGTGTTTCAAAACTGCTGTACGAAAGGTGATGTTCAACTCTGTGACTTGAATGCACACATCACAAAGAAGTTTCTGAGGATGCTGCTGTCTAATTTTTATACGTAATCCCGTTTCCAACGAAATCCTCCAAGCTATCCAAATATCCACTTGCAGATTCCACAGAAAGACTGTTTCAAAACTGCTATGTCAATAGAAAGGTTCAACTCTGTTAGCTCCGTGCATATATCCCAAAGAAGATTCTGAGATTACTTCTGTCTAGTTTTTATGGGAAGATATTTCCCTTTTCACCGTAGGTGTCAAGGCGCTCCAAATGTACACATCCAGATACTACAAAAAGAGTGTTTCAAACCTACTCTGTGAAAGGGAATATTCAACTCTGTGACTTGAATGCAGATATCACAAAGAAGTTTCTGGGAATGCTTCTGTCGAGATTTTGTATGAAGATATTCCCGTTTCCAATGAAATCCTGAAATCTATCCAAATTTCCCCTCGCAGATTCTACAAAAAGAGTGTTTCAAAACTGCTCTGTGAAAAGAAAGGTTCAACTCTGTTAGTTGAGTACACACATCACAAACAAGTTTCACAGAATGCTTCTTTCTAGCTTGTAGGGGAAGATATTCCCTTTATCAACATGGGCCTCAAACCGTCCGAAAAGTCCACTTCCATATACTACAAAAAGAGCGTTTCAAACCTGCTCTATGAAAGGCAATGTTCAACTCTGTGACTTGAATGCAGACATCACAGAGCAGTTTCTGAGAATGCTTCTGTATAGATTTTATAGGAAGATATTCCCGTTTCCAACGAAATCTTCACAGCTATCCAAATATCCACTTGCAGATTCTACAAAAAGAGTGTATCAAAACTGCTCTGTCAAAAGGAAGGTTCTTTTCTGTTAGGTGAGTGCATACGTCATAAAGGAGTTTCTGAGAATGCTTCTCTCTAGTGGTTATGGGAAGATATTTGCTTTTTCACCGAAGGCCTCAGAGCGCTCCAAATATCCACTTTCACATACTACAAAATGAGTGCCTCAAAGCTGCTCTCTGAAACGGAATGTTCAACTCTATGAGTTGAATGCAAACATCACAAAGACGTGTCCGAGAATGCTTCTGTCTAGATTTGATATGAAGATATTCCCGTTTCCAAAGAAATCTTCAAATCTATCCAAATGTCCACTTGCAGATTCAACAAAAAGTGTTTTTCAGAACTGCTCTATCAAAAGAAAGATCCACGGCTCTTATCTGAGTTCACACATCACGAACAAGTTTATGAGAATGCTTCTGTCTAGTTTTTATTTGAAGATATTTCCTTTCTCACCATAGACCTGAAAGCTGTCCTAATGTTCACTTCCAGATGCTACAGAAAGAGTGTTTCAAAACTGCTGTACGAAAGGGAATGTTCAACTCTGTGACTTGAATGCACACATCACAACGAAGTTTCTGAGGATGCTGCTGTCTACTTTTTATGCGTAATCCCGTTTCCAACGAAATCCTCCAAGCTATCCAAATATCCACTTGCAGATTCCACAGAAAGACTGTTTCAAAACTGCTCTGTCAATAGAAAGGTTCAACTCTGTTAGCTGCGTGCTTATATCCCAAAGAAGATTCTGAGATTGCTTCTGTCTAGTTTTTATGGGAAGATATTTCCCTTTTCACCGTAGGTGTCAAGGCGCTCCAAATGTCCACTTCCAGATACTACAAAAAGAGTGTTTCAAACCTACTCTGTGAAAGCGAATATTCAACTCTGTGACTTAAATGCAGATATCACAATGAAGTTTCTGAGAATGCTTCTGTCGAGATTTTATATGAAGATATTCCCGTTTCCAACAAAATCCTGAAATCTATCCAAATATCCCCTCGCAGATTCTACAAAAAGAGTGTTTCAAAACTGCTCTGTAAAAAGAAAGGTTCAACTCTGTTAGTTGAGTACACACATCACAAACAAGTTTCACAGAATGCTTCTTTCTAGCTTGTAGGGGAAGTTATTCCCTTTATCACCATGGGCCTCAAACCGTCCGAAACGTCCACTTCCATATACTACAAAAAGAGCGTTTCAAACCTGCTCTATGAAAGGCAATGTTCAACTCTGTGACTTGAATGTAGACTTCACAGAGCAGTTTCTGAGAATGCTTCTGTCTAGATTTTATAGGAAGATATTCCCGTTTCCAACGAAATCTTCACAGCTATCCAAATATCCACTTGCAGATTCCACAAAAAGAGTGTATCAAAAATGCTCTGTCAAAAGGAAGGTTCTTCTCTTTTAGTTGAGTACATACGCCATAAAGGAGTTTCTGAGAATGCTTCTGTCTAGTGGTTATGGGAAGATATTTGCTTTTTCACCGTAGGCCTCAGAGCGCTCCAAATATCCACTTGCACATATTACAAAAAGAGTGCCTCAAAGCTGCTCTCTGAAACGGAATGTTCAACTCTATGAGTTGAATGCAAACATCGCAAAGACGTTTCTGAGAATGCTTCTGTCTAGATTTGATATGAAGATATTCCCGTTTCCAACGAAATCTTCAAATCTATCCAAATGTCCACTTGCAGATTCAACAAAAAGTGTTTTTCAGAACTGCTCTATCAAAAGAAAGATCCACGTGTGTTAGCTGAGTACACACATTACGAACAAGTTTATGAGAATGCTTCTGTCTAGTTTTTATTTGAAGATATTTCCTTTCTCACCATAGTCCTGAAAGCTGTCCTAATGTTCACTTCCAGGTACTACAGAAAGAGTGTTTCAAAACTGCTGTACGAAAGGGAATGTTCAACTCTGTGACTTGAATGCACACATCACAAAGAAGTTTCTGAGGATGCTGCTGTCTACTTTTTATACTTAATCCCGTTTCCAACGAAATCCTCCAAGCTATCCAAATATCCACTTGCAAATTCCACAGAAAGACTGTTTCAAAACTGCTCTGTCAATAGAAAGGTTCAACTCTGTTAGCTGCGTGCATATATCCCAAAGAAGATTCTGAGATTGCTTCTGTCTAGTTTTCATGAGAAGATATTTCCCTTTTCACCGTAGGCGTCAAGGCGCTCCAAATGTCCACTTCCAGATACTACAAAAAGAGTGTTTCAAACCTACTCTGTGAAAGGGAATATTCAACTCTGTGACTTGAATGCACATATCACAAAGAAGTTTCTGAGAATGCTTCTGTCGAGATTTTATATGAAGATATTCCCGTTTCCAACGAAATCCTGAAATCTATCCAAATATCCCCTCGCAGATTCTACAAAAAGAGTGTTGCAAAACTGCTCTGTAAAAGGAAAGGTTCAACCCTGTTAGTTGAGTACACACATCACAAACAAGTTTCACAGAATGCTTCTTTCTAGCTTGTAGGGAAAGATATTCCCTTTATCACCATGGGCCTCAAACCGTCCGAAACGTCCACTTCCATATACTACAAAAAGAGCGTTTCAAACCTGCTGTAGGAAAAGCAATGTTCAACTCTGTGACTTGAATGCAGACATCACAGAGCAGTTTCTGAGAATGCTTCTGTCTAGATTTTATAGGAAGATATTCCCGTTTCCAACGAAATCTTCGCAGCTATCCAAATATCCACTTGCAGATTCTACAAAAAGAGTGTATCAAAACTGCTCTGTCAAAAGGAAGGTTCTTCTCTGTTAGGTGAGTGCATACGTCATAAAGGAGTTTCTGACAATGTTTCTGTCTAGTGGTTATGGGAAGATATTTGCTTTTTCACCTTAGGCCTCAGAGCACTCCAAATATCCCCTTGCACATCCTACAAAAAGAGTGCTTCAAAGCTGCTCTCTGAAAGGGAATGTTCAACTCTATGAGTTGAATGCAAACATCACAAAGACGTTTCTGGGAATGCTTCTGTCTAGATTTGATATGAAGATATTCCCGTTTCCAAAGAAATCTTCAAATCTATCCAAATGTCCACTTGCAGATTCAACAAAAAGTGTTTTTCAGAACTGCTCTATCAAAAGAAAGATCCACCTCTGTTAGCTGTGTTAACACATCACAAACAAGTTTATGAGAATGCTTCTGTCTAGTTTTTATTTGAAGATATTTCCCTTCTCACCATAGACCTGAAAGCTGTCCTAATGTTCACTTCCAGATACTACAGAAAGAGTGTTTCAAAACTGCTGTACGAAAGGGAATGTTCAACTCTGTGACTTGAATGCACACATCACAAAGAAGTTTCTGAGGATGCTGCTGTCTACTTTTTATACGTAATCCCATTTCCAAAGAAATCCTCCAAGCTATCCAAATATCCACTTGCAGATTCCACAGAAAGACTGTTTCAAAACTGCTCTGTCAATAGAAAGGTTCAACTCTGTTAGTTGCGTGCATATATCCCAAAGAAGATTCTGAGATTGCTTCTGTCTAGTTTTTATGGGAAGCATATTTCCCTTTTCACCGTAGGTGTCAAGGCGCTCCAAATGTCCACTTCCAGATACTACAAAAAGAGTGTTTCAAACCTACTCTGTGAAAGGGAATATTCAACTCTGTGACTTGAATGCAGATATCACAAAGAAGTTTCTGAGAATGCTTCTGTCGAGATTTTACATGAAGATATTCCCGTTTCCAACGAAATCCTGAAATCTATCCAAATATCCCCTCGCAGATTCTACAAAAAGAGTGTTTCAAAACTGCTCTGTAAAAAGAAAGGTTCAACTCTGTTAGTTGAGTACACACATCACAAACAAGTTTCACAGAATGCTTCTTTCTAGCTTGTAGGGGAAGATATTCCCTTTATCACCATGGGCCTCAAACCGTCCGAAACGTCCACTTCCATATACTACAAAAAGAGCGTTTCAAACCTGCTCTAGGAAAGGCAATGTTCAACTCTGTGACTTGAATGCAGACATCACAGAGTAGTTTCTGAGAATGCTTCTGTCTAGATTTTATAGGAAGATATTCCCGTTTCCAACGAAATCTTCACAGCTATCCAAATATCCACTTGCAGATTCTACAAAAAGAGTGTATCAAAACTGCTCTGTCAAAAGGAAGGTTCTTCTCTGTTAGGTGAGTGCACACGTCATACAGGAGTTTCTGAGAATGTTTCTGTCTAGTGGTTATGGGAAGATATTTGCTTTTTCACCGTAGGCCTCAGAGCGCTCCAAATATCCACTTGCACATACTACAAAAAGAGTGTTTCAAAGCTGCTCTGTGAAAGGGAATGTTCAACTCTATGAGTTGAATGCAAACATCACAAAGACGTTTCTGAGAATGCTTCTGTCAAAATTTGATATGAAGATATTCCCGTTTCCAACGAAATCTTCAAATCTATCCAAATGTCCACTTGCAGATTCAACAAAAAGTGTTTTTCAGAACTGCTCTATCAAAAGAAAGATCCACCTCTGTTAGCAGAGTTCACACATCACAAACAAGTTTATGAGAATGCTTCTGTCTAGTTTTTATTTGAAGATATATCCTTTCTCACCATAGACCTGAAAGCTGTCCTAATGTTCACTTCCAGATACTACAGAAAGAGTGTTTCAAAACTGCTGTACGAAAGGGAATGTTCAACTCTGTGACTTGAATGCACACATCACAAAGAAGTTTCTGAGGATGCTGCTGTCTACTTTTTATATGTAATCCCGTTTCCAACGAAATCCTCCAAGCTATCCAAATATCCACTTGCAGATTCCACAGAAAGACTGTTTCAAAACTGCTCTGTCAATAGAACGGTTCAACTCTGTTAGCTGCGTGCATATATCCCAAAGAAGATTCTGAGATTGCTTCTGTCTAGTTTTTATGGGAAGATATTTCCCTTTTCACCTTAGGCGTCAAGGCGCTCCAAATATCCACTTCCAGATACTACAAAAAGAGTGTTTCAAACCTACTCTGTGAAAGGGAATATTCAAACCTGTGACTTGAATGCACATATCACAAAGAAGTTTCTGAGAATGCTTCTGTCGAGATTTTATATGAAGATATTCCCGTTTCCAACGAAATCCTGAAATCTATCCAAATATCCCCTCGCAGATTCTACAAAAAGAGTGTTTCAAAACTGCTCTGTAAAAAGAAAGGTTCAACTCTGTTAGTTGAGTACACACATCAAAAACAAGTTTCACAGAATGCTTCTTTCTAGCTTGTAGGGGAAGATATTCCCTTTATCACCATGGGCCTCAAACCGTCCGAAACGTCCACTTCCATATACTACAAAAAGAGCGTTTCAAACCTGCTCTATGAAAGGCAATGTTCAACTCTGTGACTTGAATACAGACATCGCAGAGCAGTTCCCTGAGAATGCTTCTGTCTAGATTTTATAAGAAGATATTCCCGTTTCCAACGAAATCTTCACAGCTATCCAAATATCCACTTGCAGATTCTACAAAAAGAGTGTATCAAAACTGCTCAGTCAAAAGGAAGGTTCTTCTCTGTTAGGTGAGTGCATACGTCATAAAGGAGTTTCTGAGAATGTTTCTGTCTAGTGGTTATGGGAAGATATTTGCTTTTTCACCGTAGGCCTCAGAGCGCTCCAAATATCCACTTGCACATACTACAAAAAGAGTGTTTCAAAGCTGCTCTCTGAAAGGGAATGTTCAACTCTATGAGTTGAATGCAAACATCACAAAGACGTTTCTGAGAATGCTTCTCTGTCTAGATTTG